>NC_000005.10:156064354-156367384 GCF_000001405.40 Homo sapiens | reverse complement strand
GTTGTTTTAAAAAAAATTCAATCCACATTTTACTTACTATCAAAAACTGAAAAGTTAGTTTTTAAATTGCTCCTACATAATACACATCATTTTGCAGAAATTCATATCTCCATGCCCTTTCCTGCATCCTCTTTCTACCCCTTTCTCACCTTTGTGGATGTAAATCTGGCATTTTAGATACTGAATTTTAGATAAACATCTTATGTGTTTCTCAACAGTTTACAACTGGCATTTTATAATTTGCAGAAAATGTTTAGAAATTTTTCATATGTTAATAGTTCCAGAGCTTACCTCCCCCAGTCATTTTATAGCACAAGTCTCTCATTTTGGGGCTATTCTGTACTTAGCTATTAGTTGGCTGGCACAAACTGAGGGTGTAGAAGTTATGTTTTGTGACACTTAAAATACATGAGAAAGCATCTTAGATTTCTTTATAGAAGATAAACCATTTATCTGACTAAAACATTCTTGGAATTCATTTTTCCCTTCAAAAGTATCTAGATATTTTATTGTTTTCTGCTTTATTCTAAAGGAGAATTCTTTGATAGGCATGACTTTGTTTGCAAGATTTTTCTTTTTTTACACTGGTAACATATGCTTTGCCAGGATTTATCTGGGTGTGGTCATCTTTTCATTCACTTTGTCTGGCTTTCAATGAAAACTGACACTAGGTTCAGCTCAGAAGAATGTTCTTCATTGTATTGTTGCTATGTTAGCTCCAGTTCTAGCCTCTTCCTCAAGAATTTCTCTCATTCTTAGGAATTTCTATAGCTCATTCTCCATCCTCCATAGTAATCACATGTATTTCTTTAACCAGTTTTATTTTTTCTTCTGCAAAGCACCTCTTCTTATTCTTCACTTAGCTAATTTACTTTTTCTCAGTACAAAGTATTTGCTGATTCCAAAGTGGGTTTTTATTTGACTATTGCCTTTTTAGTACCTGTACATTTCCTGGGTGATTTCCCCTGATTTTAAAATCTTTCTATCTATGCCTGATCTGTCCTTCCAAATTTCCACTCTTGCCATGGAGAAATCACAATGACCCTGCCCTGTTCCACCACCACCTGACCTCAATTTTCTAAACCTTTCTTCTGATTTGTGAATTGTTTTCATCAGAGTGCTCTTTCTTCAAGTGCTCAGGATGATGTTCCTCTTCCTCACTTGGTAGTATTTTTCCGTAGACTCCACATGCCCTCTCTTCACACAGCAAAGAGGAAAAACTTATCCCAGCGCGATGCTGCTCTCAGGAGCACCCATGGGGGCACTGACTGAATGGTCTCACATTTGCAAAGTTGCCTTCATTTTGTCAGGAAGGCTTTTGTCTTTAACATTCTGAACACATGAAATTTATTAAGAACATTTTCTAGGTTGCATGGCTACTCATGTCTTCTTGTACCTTCTCTTGCTTACAGAGATTTATGTATAGAAGGTACATATTTATGCATACATACATACACATTTACATGTATATATGTGTATACACATATGTATACATGTATATGCATATATGAATGTATACACATACCCACGTGTATATATTTACATGTACATTTAAATATATCTGTATATTTTACATGTATTTATGTATACATGCATATACACATGGAAATATAGACATACATGTAAATAGGTGTGTATGTATACATATATACATGTATATATTGTATATATGTCTACATACACACATATATGCCCATATTTATGGGCATATTTATGCATACACAGATACACAAATACTTCTGTGTATATCTGTGTATATGTATGTGTATACATACATGTATGCATATGTATGTGGGGAAAGAAAACTGTAGTGCAGATGAACTCAAAAACAACATCCATGCAGAAAGAAGAGAAAACGCTCATCTTTCCAGTTGCTACTGACACTGGATTTTTGCATCCAGGGTACAAATACAGGTCAGAAGATAAAGCATCTCCTAAAGAACTCCTGGTGAGGGGAGGAAATGACCTGTTTCTGAAAGCATATCATATACTATCTTCAACTGTGTCCATTAATGTAGTTTCCTAAACCTTGAAGGTTCATGAAGACGCCTCCCAGAGTCTGGGAAAAGACTGATTGGAATTCCTAGTTTTTGGTAATAGATAATTCCTCATTCTGTTTTATCTTCAGACATTTTAGTAGGTAAGAGAGTGTGAGGATGTGAGTGTGAAGCGATAAGTCACTGTGCTTTTTATTTGCATATCTCTAATGACTATGATTTCTAGCATCTTTGTATGTGCTTGATGACCATTTGTACATCTTAGAGAAATGTCTATTCAAGTCTTTTGCCCATTTTTAAATTGAGTTGCACATTTTTATACTGTCATTTTTAAATCAGAAGTCCCTTTTTAAACTTCTCTCCATTGTAGAAGTGTACAGTGTTAGAGATAAAAGCTATCTGAGTATGCCCTTGCAACTCTCCGTTTTACCAACATGCACCATGATGCCCAGAGGCGACAGGTAGTATGCCCAAGGTCTCATAGCTTGTGAAAAAGCCCAGACCATAACTCAAATGTCCTAAGGAGGCTCTCTACAGTTCTGGAGAGAAAATGGCAAAGATACTTATTTGGAAAAAGTTTCCAAGCCAGTGTGTACTTTTGCTTTACCAATCTTTAGGGAAAAGGAGGAGTGACTCTCATTATTCTTGAAGCACTGTCCTGTCACTAACAATAGCCAGTCCTCATTTCTTATCCTCTGAAATGAGCAAAAATCCCACAAAGGGAGGGAGGCCAACTTCATACACATAGGGAAAAATGACCTTCCTATAGTCTGTGTACAAAACTAAAAAGATATTGAACCATTAAAGATTCCTTGAAAGTCACACACATACTGGATTTCTCCTTTTTCAACTGCTTATAGGTAGCTGCAGCCTAGAAATGGATGAAGGGTTTTTCAATTTATGCAATTGTCAGATATTTTTCCTTCTGCCTATAAGCCATGCACTGCCCCCAAAGCCAAATTTGCAAAGTATTCTTGCTAAGTATTTCATGGATTTCATTGCGCATTAAAAAAAAAAATGTAGCCCTGACACTAATAATAAGATAGGCACCAAAAACATGGTCCTTTTGAATTGATTCTATAAGACTGATTGTTAGTGAACCTTGGAGGAATACAGCAAGGAAGAACACTTTACAGATTCCAAATTCATATATACTGACCATTTTGAGGGAAAAGTCACTTTAAAGTCAAGAGGTTCCCCCAGACTTCTGCTGTCATAATCCCAGCATAACTCAGTAGATTCAGTTCTGAGAGATAGATCTGTGACTGCTTTCTCAGCATCCCCTCCTCTTTCATTTGCAATGACTCATTTTCACTCTGCTGCCCATACCTCCCTGCACAGCCCAGAGGCCTTGAGTATTAGGTGTGGGACTTGTGACTGAGACCACCAAGCCAATGATCATAATCACATTCCCTGGGTACAGTTATTCGTCCAGACCTGGGCATGTGACTCCCGTCAGGCCAATGTGACAGGTAGTGAGTTTTTCTGTGTGCTCCTGGGAAAGACATTTCTGGGTCTTCTGAAAGAGCTCCTGAAGCAATGACATCCCCTTTCCCTTCAACCAGGTAGACAGAAAAAGACAAAATTAATCAATTTCAATCTATATGTAAGATTTATTAGGGAAATAAGGGAACTAATAAGAAAATTTCATTGCCAATCAAAAGTGAAGGCATACTTACAGAGAATAATTTCTTAGAATTAGGCATGGCTTTGTAAATACCTCTGCAAAGGCAACAGCTTATACAGCAAGAGAATCTGGCTCAGTTTACAGTAATGTTATTCTTCTCAGGAAGAGAAATCCTGGAAACAATCAGGATATTTAAAAAAATAATAGCTATTATTTTTGACATTGAGCTGATCAATGAAATTTGAGCTGTCATTCAAATAGACTAAAAAAACCTAGGTAACTTAATGAGAAGAAATAAACTTAGGAGAGCATACCAAAATCATATTTTAAATTATTTTTCTGCTTCCATCAAAACAAAAGCAATGTTATACTTTTTTCACTGCATTTTCAAAACATGAAACGTGGGTTGCAGGGGTAATCACTGACTCCCTTAATAAAATCATAAATCAAAGGAAAGAACAATACTTTTAGAAATACGTGAGTTACCATGGAAGGCTAGAAATGTAGATAAACTGAAATCTGACATTTAGAGGTCAGTAGTGAAGAGGTTATTGTTTACACGGAAAGCTATTTGTGCAATTAACTGAAATTAATTATGCTTGTATAAACTTCATAAACATATCACAGATCTGGATTTTTGACTAATTAAGCTTTAATTTAGCTGCAAAAACTAAACCATATAAGCATTTATCAGAAAACCCTACTCACCCATTAAAAAAAAAAGGTAAAATCATAGATTTTAGAAACCATCTGGAGAAATAAACAATTTAGGGAAAGCTGCAAAGACAGAAATTATAGTCAATTATCCCAGATGTAAAGCCATATTTTGAGGTTATGCTGTCCTTCAATTTCTCAAGAGTACCCCTTAATTAAATGCAAATAATCAGAAATGGCAATTAATATATTGCTATAATTCCCTGATTAGATAGTGGAGTCCATTTACAATGTTTGAAGGTTGCTGTGACTCTGAATAAAGCAAATAGAGTATATGTCATGAAATGCTCCCAAGTATCCCTTATTGGAAAAGTTCTCCATAGTGGTCCATCCCAGAGACTAGCCACGAGGTTCACAGTAGTCACACTATGGAATGCTATTTCTGTTTTTTTCATTTGTTTTGAGATGGAGTCTCTCTCTGTCACCAGGATGGCATGCAGTGGCGTGATCTTGGCTCACTGCAACCTCTGCCTCCCGGGTTCAAGTGATTCTTCTGCCTCAGCCTCTCGAGTAGCTGGGACTACAGATGCGCACCACTACTCCCAGCTAATTTTTATAATTTTAGTAGAGATGGGGTTTCACCATGTTGGCCAGGATGGTTTCAGTCTCTTGACCTCATGATCCGCCCGCCTGGGCCTCCCAAAGTGCTGGCATTACAGGCATGAGCCACCACGTGCCAGCCTCGAATGCTATTTCTAAACCATTTGAACACTCAACCTTTATTGACAAATAGGAATATTGGCTTTGAAGAGGGCTTCCAAGAAGGCAGAGATTTTGAACCACCTGATGTAAGCATCACACCATACAAATCAGAAATAAGCCAGTAAAGGTCAAATGGCCTCTCATGAATGACATAGTGCAGTGTGGAGACTCAAGTACATGTGTGTTGCTTCTTCATTGGCTCCTACTTAGGGTGTGTGTTCCTACAGTGGAGACTGTCTGAATGGCAATTCCCTTTTCTTGACACTACACATAGACAGCCTACTCTAAGTCCTTTCTCAATCAGGGCTTTTGAACTTGCTTTTCCTTCGGCCTAAAATCTTGCCCAGCTCTTCCCATGACTGTCTCAGTATCATTCCTTTAGGCTTCTACTAAAATTTGCCTTTCCAGGGAGGCAAATGCTGATCCATGTCCAAAGTAATCCACATGCAATTTCACGTTGTCATCTCTCTCTGTAGACTTCAGAGGATGCATCACAACCAATAATTATTTTAGTTTACCTCTTTATAGGCCATCTCATGCACCAGAATAGCTATAGTTTACTGTGTTTCACAGAGTCCTATTTTAAGTTGAACCAGCAATAATGTGTACATATAAAATATTTGAGTCACCGTATTTCTTACAGTAATGATGATTTTCAGCAACACCCAAGTTACATATGCTTTTAAGACTCTATTAGTCATTCCTTTAAACATGAGCTTATGACTCTGTGCTGAATTTTAGCAACTGAAACTTATTTTCCTCTTTGTAAGACAATTCTCCAAATGTTTTAAGTTGACAGGGATAAAAACTAGCACTGAGTGCCTACCATACTCTACTTTCTGGTTATCTCTAATCTTTATTACAACTTTTCAACACAAGTATTGCTAATCTCACTAGTACAAATGAGTAAAGGAAGGGTCAGAGAAGATTAGGTACTTTGCCAATAATTGTCTAGATCATCAGTAACAGAGCAGAAGCTTCCAGGTCTGTCTTCTTCAAAACCTGGTAAATTACACTGCTTCTCTCCTAAAATCACATGTATGTGCACATCAGGATTTTTCCGAATCATCCTTTTGGTGCAAGATTTTTCTTGGCCCCTTCATTGGACTTGCAACAGGGGTGCCCTATTATTTGGCTTGCCCACTGTGCTCAACCCCTTGCAGGAGGGAGCGCATGAACAAGCAACTACAGGATCTTGTTGGGCGCTCCAGGCTCCAGCAGGAGCAAGCTCCATATGGGGCCTGCAGCAGCACCCAGGTTAGGGTGCCCATGACCCCGAAGCCCCAGAGGGGCTTACAGCATTACAGTATTCTCTTAGTTCTGCCATCTGCAGGTGGCAGTGTGTTAGCAGCTCAATTGACCCCTTGCCTCAATCATGTGGGGCAGTTGCCCTCTGTCAGTGAGAGCAAACGGCTGGTGTGACAGCCTTTCTGGGTACCTACTCTTGGTGGGCGCCAAGCCCTTGTCTGGCATCCAAGTAGAATGAGGTCATGCAGACAACTGAAGGATGGTGAAGGCTAAGATTTGTATTAAGTGATGAAAATGGCTCTCAGTAGAAAGGGGAGCTGGAGAGGGGATGGGAAGGGTGAGTCGTCTTCCCCCAAAGTCAGGCTGTGTCTTTCACAGTCTGGCCATCTCTTCTCCAAAGTCCAGTGGTCTCCTCAAAGTCTGGCCATCTCCCCCTCTACTGACTGAGTCTGGAGTCTTTATAGGCACAGGATGGGAAGTGTGTGCTGATTGGGTTGTGAGTATGCAATAAAGGTTAAAGTGAAGACAGCACTCAAAGGTGGACACTACAGTGTAAAAAAACCAATTAGGCCTGTAATTCCAGCACTTTGGGAGGCCAAGGCAGGCAGATCACCTGAGGTCAGGAGTTTGAGACCAGCCTGGCCAACATGGTGAAACCCCATCTCTACTAAAAATACAAAAATTAGCCAGGCATGGTGGCAGGTGCCTGTAATCCCAGCTACTCAGGAGGCTGAGGCAAGAAAATTGCTTGAACCAGGGAAGCAGAGGTTGCAGTGAGCCAAGACTGTGCCATTGCACTCCAGCCTGGGTGACAAGAGCAAGACTTTGTCTCCAAAAAAAAAAAAAAAAAATTAGGAAAGGGTAGGTATATGTAAAATAGGCGAAGGGTAGGGATCAACCAGAGGAAAGCACACCAAACAGGAAGACAAGTTCTGAATTTGATCTGAGGATTTAAGTTGTAGCTTTGCTTTCAGGCTTTAAACTGTCTTTAGCTTGGAGGTGGGGTTTCAGTGGGGACCCGCCCCTGTCTGCCTGGACATTTGGCTGCTCCTGTCACTATCACTTTGCACTATGGGATCAGGGCAACCCTGGACAATGAGAGTCAAATGGAAAATGAACCAAGAATTTGAGAAGTCTGGACTGAGAGGATTTGCTCCAACATAATTAAGTCCACCAGTTGTGAGGCCTCTTAACCTTTCTAAGTTCAGTAGGTGATTCATACAATATGACAGAAAAGAATCAATAAGGTCCATTAGAAAACACAAAGAGAAAACAATTTCTCAGTAAGCTGTATGGGAGGTATAGCACCAGCTGTGAATAAGTATTCATCTTCATATGTGTGCATTAAGAAAGTTCCAGAAATGAGTGCATCTTAGGGATACTGGAGACCATCAGCATTCTTCATGTGCCCTGCTGTTGACTCATCTTAATAATACCACAAGCACAGAGACTAAGGCTCTGAGGAATGGAGACAGTATCTTCTCAGACTGCTGAGCATCAGGGAGGATATGTGCAACAGCTGTTAGAAATTCTGGGTCTAGGCTGGCTTTATATCCCAGCTCTGCGACTTACTGCAACCTTAGGAAAGTGGCTTGACCTCTTCTCTAGATTAATTTTCTCATCTGGGAAACGAGGGTAATTATAGGACTCATCTTCTAGGGCTGTTACAGAGATTAGATAATATGTTCTATGTTAAGTGCTCAGTATCACACCTGGCACAGAATAAGCTCTTAATACATGTTATCCTATTAATTAATGACAATAATCAACCTGTGAATCCTGAGGTCAATGTTGATATACCTGTAAGTGGCCAGATACAGTTTTGTGCCAATGAAGAAAGCAAAAGACTTGTTATAAACCAGCTCCAAAGAAGAAAGCAAAAGACCTGTTATAAACCAGTTTCCTTTTCATAACACATACAGTATTTGTATTCACTATGAGTAATTATAGTCTGATTCTATCCTCACAGGTGAGGTCCCCAATTATACCACAAGGTAGCCAAATAGTCCTTAAGAAACCAACTGTCATGACTTTTCCCTATTTCTATTTATGATTCTTTTCTCTTCCCTTTTAGCTTCTTATTTTTAATTTTTCTTGAATCCCACAAGTGTTACATAAGTGCATTCTCCTCACCAAATGTTCAACAGCATAAGGTAGCATGGAAAAGTTGCCTTCCACCCCTCTCCCACCTGTCTCCCCACCCACCACCACCACCAGTCAACTCCTCTCCCAGAGGAAACATCAGATTTTCTGCAGATCCATATACAACATTACTAGATGCCCATTTCTTCATTTTACTTTGGCTTCCTTTGTTGAGTTTTCATTTTTAACATCTGTGCAATCATCTTGACTTGAAAGCCCCTCTTCAATTATGCCAAATCACCCCTTCCTGCCTTCTTTACACCATCCACTTATCCTGACTGTTCTTTTACATTTATTTGATTGTGTTAGTAATTCCAATCCCTTCCCCATTAGACAGATAGCTCCATGAGGGAGGAACGGCATTTGCTCTTCTTCACTCTCATATCTCAAGCACTTAGTATAGTCCTTGGCCCACTGTAGGAACTCAACAAGCATGTGTTGAATAAACAACTGTTTCTCATTCATAAGGCTGTCAATATATCATAATTATAGTAATAATTGACTTGAAGAGGTGAGGATTTCCAATAGAAACCATTCACTTAACTGAGACTAGGAAATAAGTCAGAAGCACAAGGCTCTCCACTAGTGAATGAACAAGACACAAATTATTTCTGCTGTCTCCTCCCTGCCAAGGATTGCAATGCAGGTTTCAATTCAGACTACCTGAAATTGCTTATATGAACTATAAAGCATTCATTTATTAAATGGCAAGCAACTATGTATGGCACAAAGCTGATTTTACCCAGGGAGTGACTGAGTGACCCAAATGATACTTTTCCTCTGTCTTTGGGTTTTATGGACAATACTTCCTATTTTATCATATAATTAAGAGATTATGAGAGAAAGAGAGAAAACATGGTTACTTAACATGGCAGATGACAGCCTCATGTAATAATGGTCAAAACTCCCATACATCGGCCAATCCAAACTGGATGATTAGCTAAGGGACCAGAATGTACTGAGACTTTAACCCTTTACCTCATGAATACTGGCTCAGTGACTTGCCTGATTCTGCAGAAAGTCAGTGTTGCCGAGTTCTGTTATCCATTGCTCATTCTTATTTATTCTAAAGTTGGGGGGTTGACCATAGTACATATTAGGCATGAGACCTAGGAAGTACTCCACTTAATAAAGCTGGCTGGTAATTAAAAGCCGGTCAAAATGCATAATTTTTATCTACACAAGCATTCAGTGAGGTTTCTACAATAAACAGAAAGGCTGCCCTACTACTGAGAACTGTTTGCCTATTCTTTAACTTTATTTATCAAAGCAACAAGCAGTTTACATGTAACTGAGTGAAGCACAAAAGTAACTGAAAAGCAACAAAATTATGATTCTTCTAACATAAATACAAGCTATGTAGTTAGTATGACCCCTTAAAATTTTTCATGAGAATAAAACCGCTTGAGTCGACAATGGCTGAGCCAATACTGAAGTCATTTTAAAATGCCCATTCCTCATTGACCCTAGCTATACAATGACCACCATTGCCACTGAACATTATACAAGTAAATTCATTACTGTTTATAAGACATTCATTTTCCTTTTTGACACTAAATGTTTTCAGAGAAAATTAAAAGCATAAGCTTTGAAGTTAGACATATCTTGGTTTATATATTGACCTGGCTACCCACTAGCTAAAAAGGTTGGACAGGTGAATTAAGCCTTCTATGCTTCAGTTTCTTTACATAGAAAGAGGAGATAATAGTCCCCATTCACAGGGTCATTGTGAGGAGTAAGAGAAAACAAAGCCAGGCACTTAACATTGTTCAAACAATGTTCAATACAGGTGTGGTGACTGCACGCTTAATAGCATTGATGGTGGCGGTACTGTTGCACAGATTGTACTTTTCCTAAAATGGCCATAGCAGTATCTGTGTATCAGTTTCCTGTGGCTACCATGACAAATTATCACAAAACTCTCAGCTTAAAACAATATAAATTTTCTCAAAGTTCTAGAAGCCAGAATTCCAAGCCCTCTGGAGGCTCTAGACGAAAATCTATCCCTTGTCTCTTCCCAATTCTAGTGGCTATCAACTTTCCTTAATTGGCGGTCCTATCATGCCAACCTCTGCTTCTCTGATCATATTGCCTCCTCCTCTTCTGTGTCAAATTTTCCTCTGCCTCATCGTTATGAGGACACTTGTCATTGAATTGAGGGCCCACCTGGGTAATCCAGGAATTATCTCCTCATCTCATAATCCTTAATTTAGATGAGACCCTTTTTCCAAATAAGGTAACACTCACAGGCTCCAAGGATTAGGAGCATATAATGTAGGGGGGCACTATTCAATCCATTACAATCTCCCATCCCACGTACTCCTCTAGAACTTTGCAATTCCCCCATGAAGAAGTGGAGCCCATATGCCCTCTACTTGAATTTAGGCAGGACTTTGTGTCTGCCTACAGCAGAGTAGAGTGGAAGTGATGCAATCTGACTTCTGAGTCTGGTTCATAACAATGCTATGCACTTCCATCTTCTTTAAATGGAACATATATTCTAGAGTTTAGCAACCACGTTAAGGGCAAGCCCAAGTTAGCCCATAGGGAAGAGCTGTGTGTAGGCGTTCTGGCCAGCTGAGGTTCCAGCTGACAGCTAGCATCAACCACCCACACATGTAAGTAAACACACCTGGAGATAATTCCAGTCCCAGCTGTTGAGATACCCCAGGCCTTTGAGTCTCCCAGCTAAGGTGCTAGACATCAGGGAAAAGAGACAAGCCATCTCCCCTGAGCTCTGCCCAATCTGCAGAATCATGAGTAAAACAAATTATTGCTGTTTTATTAAGCCACTAAGTTTTGGGGTAGTTTGTTGTGTAGCAATAGATAATCAGACCAATTATTCATTAAGTAATTAAATGAATGAAGATTAGAAATTTATAAAGGCACATAAGATATACTCCCTGGCACTTAATATATTGGATCTTTGGCTAAGCAGATACAGAGTAAGCAAACATACACACTCACACCCTCACACTTCTAGAAGAAAAAAGATGTCCATCTTTCTCATTCTGGGTCAGGGAATATGGAGGACCCAGTGATCACACACAGAAATTATGTGAGGCCGAGGCAGGCAAATCACTTGAGTTCAGGAATTCAAGACCAGCCTGGCCAGCATGGCGAAACCCCATCCCTATTAAAAATACAAAAATTAGCCAGGCGTGGTGGCACATGCCTGTAATCCCAGCTACTCAGGAGGCTGAGGCACAACAATCGCTTGAACCTGGGAGGCGGACTTTGGAGTGAGCTGGGATCACACCATTGCACTCCAGCCTAGGCAACACAGTCAGACTCTGTCTCACAGAAAAACAAAAATTATTTGAGGGTGTTGGACCTTATGTATCATCTGATCCAACTGTATATTTTACAAGTTGGGAGAATATGGCTCAGAAACAGTCCCTGCAACTCCTTCCTGAATACAGCTCTTCACCCAACAAAAGTCCACCTTGCTCCTCCCAGGCAAGATGAAAAATCTAGCACAGTCTCAGAACTTTTCCAATTAAGAATATTGAAAGGAAGAAATGAGACAGAATGAATGTGTGGAAAAGGTACAAAGCTGATTAAAAAACATAGTAGTTATCTTGGCTGTTAATCAGATTATGAGAAATTTTCTTCTCCTTTTTATATTAAAATGGTTTTGGTTTGTTTTCCTACCTTAATCCCACAGCTCTGGGTCTTGGAAAGTGCCTGGGGCACAGGAAGGAAAGGCAAAAATTGTTGTATGGTGAGGCACAAAGAACTTTTTGGTTCACAGGCCTTACCATGCCATCCAAGATGTAGCTAAGAAGTAGGACATTAGATTTTGGACCAGTTTTGAAACAAAGAACTTCCTGTGATGATGGAAATAAACTGTATCTGCTCTAAGATGGCAGCTACTAGCCAGGTGTAGCTGTTGAACATTGTGACATGACAAGTGTGACTAAATAGACATCTTCAATGTTAATTTTAAATCCTTAATAGACAGTGTCATTCTAGAAAGATCATTTACAAACAACTCTGAACCTAGAAATCTTAACTAATGATTCTCAGGCAAACCAACTGATGGGAAACCAACTCATATTTACTGGTTCTTTCTACAGTTTGAATCACCTAACCCCACCCCTGTCTACCATGGAAGGACTGACCTGCAGGTTCTCAGTGGCAGCAAGCCCTTGGGATTTGCTGCTTCTCTTCTATGATTGCTTAATAACTCAGTCAGCATGAACAGATCCTTGTGATGTGGCCACAAGTTCAGATTTCTGAGAGTTATTCAGAGCTCACAGCAACATGACCAGTAAGAACTGAAGTTTCCATGTGTGAATGGCTATGTGTGATATACAAAGACAAAAAATATTTCCAGGAAGATTTTCTAACATTGTTCCTCTCAATTCTAGGACATAAAAATAACTTTAGTTGTATGAAAACTCTCGTAAGTGGAAAAGGTCACGAATATTGTCCAAATAATAGGATAAAGTTGCACAGTAATTTCTTTATAATTGGAATTCAAGCTTTTCAGTTTGACCTCTCCAAAGTCTATAATTTGCAGCCTTTTTGACTTTACTCATGTCAGCTCCTATTCTCATCTTTCCCCATCCCCTCTTTCCCCTCCAGTGGCCTAAGCTCTCAATACTAGAACCATTATGCCTGAGGCTCCCCAATCAAGTTTAACTTACCAGCTTCCAGACTATAATCACACTGCTTTCTCTGCTTCCACCACCACACAAAAGGCCTTATCCATCCTTGGTGACACAACTCAAGAAGCCTTCCAGTGCCCTCTAACTTTAGCTAATTTATTCTTTCCGCAACTTTCATACTTCTTTAAAACATTTAATTTGTGGAAAGTACTAAAATTATACATGTGTTTTCTTCCCTAGTAAATTATGAGTACTTAAAGTATAGAATTGTTTTATTCTAATCTTTAGTTTCTACACAAAGCATAGTATACTCAACTGTGTGCTTAAGAAATACTGATTCAATTGAAGCAGATATGCCCAATAGATTGTATAACTTTACAGCAGCTTTGATTCATGTTATTTGCAGTAATTATGATACCCAAATCATCCCTGATGCTTTACATTCTCACAAAGGTATAAAACACAGGAAGTTTCAAACCAAATAGGACATTAGAGAGCCATATCCTAGGACTGACCATGGAATAAAAATAAATTTTTGTTTTTTGTTTTTCTGCATTACAATTTTTATGGTGCTTTTAAAAAACAACATTTTGGCCATTTTTCAGATGGATGGATTGAGCTAATGGATTAAAAGTGACCACACAGTCAAAGCACTGAGAGATGGAAGCATGATTTTCTCAGTAGAGGAAGCACTTCCAAGTCCCCAAGCTAAGCTGGCACCCGCATTGAAGCGGATGCTACTCAAACTCACAATATATTAACAGTGTTAAATGAAAAGTATAACTAATGCCAATAATATCACTTTCACCCATTTACTAAGCAAATCTGTATATTAGCTAGGATGAAGTCTCCTACCTTTAATCTATTTCACACTCCATCATTACCCTTCTTTTCTCATGTAATTAAAATGTAGCAGGTAGTTGATACACAGAGCGAGTGTCTGTATTAAAAATACCTTTTCATAATCAAATTCAAGCACTCATCTCATTTATGATCTACCTTAATAAATCAACTAATACTTCATTTTAGAAGTCATATAAAGCTCTATTAACCCATCTTTATACATTTTAATTTAAAGTGACTGCCTATTCATAATTTTCTCCCTTTCATTTATTCAATAAACATATTCTAAGTGTCTGCCATGTACTTTATATGTATCCTCACTCCCCTCAACTTGAGTTAGTTTGACTGGGTCGCAGTTCCTTGAGCTTACTCAAAACAGATGATGTGTCAGGGTCCTGAGTTATGGAACATGCTGGCTGTTCTCTCTGGCTTTTACTGTTTTACAATGTGTCCAATTTACAAGCATTAGAATGCCTTCCTCTGACCCTCAGTGGATCTTTATCTTACTTCAGGGTAAATAAACCATGTTTTAGACATTGCACTGAACAAATTCAACTTGTCTTCATGAAAAATAGCCCTTGGAAAATGGGCAGCATTGTGTACTGAAGAAGAGCAGTGACTGTAGAGCCAGACTCCCTGCAACCCATCCCAGTTTCATCATTCACTGACTGTGTGACCTTGGGCAAGTTACTGCACTTCTTGGAGCCTCCACTTCCTCCTCTGTCAAATGTGGATAACAAGGGTGCTTAGCTCATAGGGTTCTTATGTGCATCATGTGAAAACCTTATAAAGTTAATCCTGTATGAGTTTTTATGAAATAAATGGAAATTCATTTCTTACATGATCACAAGTGACAACAGTTTGGATTTTGTAATGTTAACGAATAGAAACTAAAATAGAAATCAGGAGATCTATATACTACAGGTATAGGTAGCTATCATTTACTGAGGTCCTACCATGTCAGCAACATGATCAGATACTTGATATCCATTATCTCCTTTGTGTGGTCTGCAAAAGGCAATCTACAGTTAACACATGTTGAAAGCCTACTGAATAGCAGGCATTGAGCAGGGCTACAAAAATGTATAGAGAATAATCCCTGCTACTGAGAGAAGTTTCCAGAGCAGCTGGGGTGCTCAAGCTGGTCAGAAAACTTTGCTATCTACTTTGGTTCCAACATCTGTAGAATAAGGATGTCTGATGAGGTGACTCCTAAGGTTCCTATTTCATCTAATTTTACAAGTACTGGGATAAGATATCATGCCATCCACTGATGACTCCTAAGCCTTTTGTAGTTTTGTCACTTAATAACCACTTGTGCTAAATGATTGTCTACATGATCAATACTACAGTATTTTGGAAGGTCTTTGAGGCCAGGTTATTCTGATTGGGCTGGTAGAATGCACTAGCAAAAGTAACAGCTCTCTATTAGAATGAGACTTCATACAGCCTAGGGAAATATAAAATGACAAAAATCAGTGTGCAAACAGGAAGATGCCCGAGATGACATCTAGTCCAATGCATTTAGTGGTATACTGGGTTCCAGAAGAGAAAGGCAATGTAGTTCATGGCCAGTTAGGGCTGGGAATCCAGTTTCTGACACTCATGGCATTATGCACTGCCCCACAATATGACAAACTAGCCAACAGACCAGGATCCATAGTCAGACTGCTTGGGTTCGAATCTCTACTCTGAGGCTTTATAGCTGTTTGATCTCAAGTTATTGAGCCACTCCCTCCCTTGTAAAATTGGTATCCAAATAGTGGCAGCCTGGATAATGATTAAGTTAGATAATATTTGCAAACTGTAACTGCGACAGTGTAGTGCCTGGCAGAGAATAAGCCTGCAGTAAATGATGATGATGATGATGATGATGATGATGATGATGATGATGACTACGACGATAGCAAACACTTCTATAAAGTGTTTACTATGTGCCAAGCACTAAACAATGCATTTATCACCTCCTCTAATCTTTACAACAATCCTAGGAGGTAGGTATTGTCATTACTCCTAGGAAATGGCAGCACAGGGAGGTTGAGAAACTTATCAAAAATCACATAGTAAGAGACAGAATCCAGATTTTTACTTAGAACATCTGTCTCCAGAGTTTGAGCCCTGAACTACTATACTGTCATGAAGGGTCTCTCATGACTTTCTGTTGTCAACACTGACTCTTCCTATGTGTCAGATTCTGCTAATAATGCTTCACATGAATTAACTCACTGGGTCTTCCACCAACCTATGGGTAGATATTAAGTTTATACTAAATGCTTATGTTAACACATCAAATGGACAAAACACAAGGTGGGAACAATGCAAGGAGAAGGTCCTCAGCTACACAGCAAAGAGAAATTAGATAAAAACCAAACATTCGGAACTACCAGGGAACTACTCTAAACATAAAACGTCACTGGATACCTCAGATGAAAGTGACCTATGACACAGGGTTGGCAAAGATAACAAGCTATTTTTCCAGCTTCAGAATTCTGTTGAAGAGCCAGATCATTATTGCAATTTGGAGGAGGAGGTAAAGTGTAGTGGAAAGGTTGAGACAGGAAGTCAAACACCAGCGTTTTACTTACTAGCTGTCTTTCAGCAAGTCACTCAACTTCTCTGAGCCTTGGGTTTTCAGTGGGAATAACAATATTAAATTTGTAGAGTTATGAAAGTTAAAAGATTTTAAGGGCCATGTACAGTGAGTAGCACAGAAGAGACATTTAATAAATATTAGCTCGTTTGTATAAGCACAATGTGTGATAAACTAAGGTCTATTTGTGGGTGTTTACAGTGTAGGTAAAACACACACTCTCCAATGTATGGGGAAAATGAAATATGTAGTCTCAATCTCCTGCCAGTAATGAATACTGGAATATTCTGCTAAGAGCAGAAGAAAGCAAAATAACTTTTCTTCTGATTTACCTCTGAGACAAAGAAAACTTGGTAAGATGCTTGTCCAGATTGCTTTACTGGAAAGGCTCTTCCAGCATGTATCCTTGGGGATAGCACAGAATGCAAGACTGACAAAAAAAGTAAAATTCCAGATTTTCAATCTTGGATAGATCACCAAGGTTTCACAAACACTTTCAGATGACATCGTTCTTATAGTTCGTCATTACACAGGGGGTTTGATTACAGTGTGAGCTTTCCCAAATCTCAAATTGTTGAACAAACCAAACATACAAAATAATCACTCTTTCCTACATAAATGTGTGGGTATATGTGTGTGTGTACATATATATATATATATAATTTTTTTTCCTCAATAGCTTTAGAGATACAAGTGGTTTTTGGTTACATGGATCAATAATATAGTGGTAACCTCTGGAATTTTAGTGTACCCACCACCGAGTACTGTATACTCTACCCAACAGGTAGTTTTTCATCCTTCATCATCCCCTTCCCACCCTCTCCTCTTCTGAGTCTCCAATGTCCATTATACCACTCTATATGCCTGTGCATACCCTTAGCTTAGCTCCCACTTATCAAAAAGAACATGTGGTATCAGATTTTTGATTCCTGAGTCACATCACTTAGAAAAATGGCCTCTGGTTCCATACAACTTGCTGTAAAAGCCATTATTTCATTCTTTTTTATGGCTGATGGTGTATGTATATCACATTTTCCTTATCCACTCACCTGTTCATGGGGACTTAGGTTGGTTCCATATCTTTGCAGTTGTGAAATGTGCTGCAAAAAAAATATACATATGCAGGTCTCTTTTTGACATAATGACTTTTTTCTTTTGGGTAGTTACCCAGCAGTGAGATTACTGGATCAAATGGTAGGTCTACTTTGATGTCTTTGAAAAATCTCCAAACTGTTTTCTATAGACATTGTACTAATTTACATTCCCATCAGCAGTATATAAATATTCCTTCTTCACCACATCCAAACCAACATCTATTTTTTTTAATTTTTATTAATAGCCATTCTGCTTTGGGTAAGGTGGTATCTCATTGTGGTTTTAATTTGCATTTCTCTAATGATTAGATCTGTTGTACTTTTTTTATGTTTCTTGGCCATTTATATCAATTCTTTTGAGAAATTTCTATTCATGCCATTTGCCCACTTTTTAATGAGATCACCTGTTTTTTTTTCTTGTTTAGAGTTCCTTATCGATTCTGAATATTAGTCGTTTTGTCAGATGCATAATTGCAAATTTTTTCTCCCACTTCATAGGTTGTTAATTCTGATTACTATTTCTTTTACTGTGCGGAAGCTTTTTAGTTTAATTAGGTTCCATTTATTTATTTTTGTTTTTGTTCCATTTGTTTTTGTGGTCTTAGTCATAAATTATTTGCCTAGGCCAACATCCAGAAGTGCTTTTCCTAGGTTTTTCTTTCTAGAATTTTTATGTTCTAGAAGTTTTCAGGTCTTTAAGTCTTTCATCCATCTTGAGTTAACTTTTTCAATACAGTGAGAGACAAGGATCCAGTTTCATTATTCTTCGTGTAGCTATCCAATTTTCCCAGCATCACTTATTAGAGTGTCCTTTCTCCAATTTATGTTTTTGTATACTTTGTAAAAGATCAGCTGATTTTAAATATTAGGTTTTATTTCTCGGTTCTCTCTTCGGTTCCATTGGTCAATGTGTCTACTTTTATAGCAGTATTATGCTGTTTTGGTTACTATAGCCTTGTAGTATAATTTGAAGTCCGGTAATGTGATGCCTTCAGATTTGATCTTTTTGCTTAGAATTACTTTGGCCATTTGGACTCTTTTTGGTTCCATATGAATTTTAGAAATGTTTTTTCTAATTCTGTGAAAAACGACATTGATATTTTGATAGGAAGTACATTGACTCTGTAGATTGCTTTGGGCACTATGGTCATTTTCATGATAATGAGTCATTCAATTCATGAGCATGGGATGGTTTTCCATTTGTTTGTGTCTTCCACGATTTCTTTTAGTAGTGTTTTGTATTTCTCCTTGTAGAGATCTTTTACCTCCTTGCTTAAGTATCTTCCTAGGTATTTAAAATTTTTGTAGCTATTATAAAAGAGATTGAGTGCTTAATTTCTCAGCTTGGCCATTGTTGGTATATAGCAGTGCTGCTCATTTGTGTACATTGATTTTGTAACCTGAGACTTTACTGAATTTAGTTTATCAGATCTAGGAGTCTTTTGGAGGAGCCTTTAGAGTTTTCTAGGTATATGCTCATGTAATCGGCAAACAGAGACAGTTTGACTTCCTCTTTCCCAATTTGGATGCCCTTTATTTCTTTCTCTTTCTTGATTGCTCTGGCTAGGACTTCCCCTACATATATTTTTAAATCTCTGCATAAACTGCTTTACTGCCATCTCATTGATTTTTTTCTCTTTCTCCAACGTAACAGTGCTTAATACCTCATTCTTTCCCCACGATCTCCACTGTCAGTAAATTTTTATTTGTGCAAGAGAATTATAATTCTAAAAGAATATCCTTTATACCATGATTGATGGAAAATATGCTTTTAACTTGCAGGGCAAGACCAATTTTCTAACACTTCAGTTCTATTTGCTCAAATGCATTATTGGCTATAAAGTACCAATTATGCCTAATAACAGCATTATTCTTATCTCAGTAAGTTTGGTAAAGCTTTAAGGACTCTCAATTTTGGCAATCAATTTAGTTAACTGCAGGAAAGAGCCGATTTCATATAGATTATTACCTTAATGTCATATAAGTGGTACTCAATATACATTTACATATACTTCTATTAAGTCTTCCAGATAAAACATACTCTAGAAGCAGTATTGGTATAATATCACAGTTATCAAAGTTTCAGCTCATATTTTCCACTTCCTCTACCCCTAAATCTTACAGGTTCTACAAATTAAATTTGTGACAGTCTTGGTAAAAATCACAAAAATAAGGGATTAAGAGGATAGCTTCAAATAGGGGACTAAAGGTATACATGAGTACTAGCCAAGTTCTAGTGGAAAAGTAATAAATTCTATTTTGCTTTTTAGGACCCACCACCCAGCCATCTCACCATCCTAAAACCAGAAATCTTCCAAAATGTCTTCTGATCCCTCAACCCTACATCCAACCAGAAGTCAAGGTATATCAATTCCATCTTTTAAATGTCTTTAAATGCAAGGTCCATACTACTGCCCTAGCTTCAGTATTCTCCTGTTTAATATTGCAACAGAGAAGTTTTACTAATTTATAAGTTTTTGAAATACAAATTAACAACATCACAGAACATGCACATCGACAGATGGCAATTGTGGTCACTGGGACTTAAGGCCAAATGGACCCAAGGCATCCTCCAGAGCCCTCAGCTCTAACAAACTTTCCCCATTCTATTGCTTCATCACCTAGGCAAGCTCTCTAGAATGTAAATCTGATTATATCTTGCTCTCCTGATTAAACATTTCTCTGAATTCTGCTTGTCTTTAAAGAAAGTAAAGTCCAGGCCAGGCACGGTGGCTCACGCCTGTAATCCCAGCACTTTGGGAGGCCGAGATGGGTGGATTACGAGGTCAGGAGATCGAGACCATCCTTGCTAACACAGTGAAACCCCATCTCTACTAAAAATACAAAAAATTAGCTGGGCGTGGTGGTGCGCACCTGTAGTCCCAGCTACTCGGGAGGCTGAGGCAGGAGAATGGCTTGAACCCGGGAGGTGGAGCTGGCAGTGAGCCGAGATTGTGCCACTGCACTCTAGCCTGGGTGACACAGCAAGACTCCGTCTCACAAAAAATAAAAAAATAAAAAAAATAAAAAAATAAAGTAAAGCCCAAGTTGAGAAGTATTGATTGAGTCTAATTCAGAAATGGAAGCTAATGTGCTCTAATACTCTAGAACTATTACCTTGGATGCCTACAACCCCATGGAAACTGACCATATAATCTTCCAAAGTTACTACTGCAATATAGATTTTCTGCATTTTTCAAAAGAACTGAACTCTTAGCTGGATGTGATGTCTCATGCTTCTAATCCCAGCACTGTCAGAGGCTGAGGTAGGAGAACTGCTTGAGGTCAGGAGTTTGAGACCAGCTTGGGCCACACAGTGAGACACCCATCTCTACAAACAATTTAAAAATTAGTCAAGCATGATGGTGTGTGTCTCTAGTTCTATCTACTTGAGGGATTGAAATGGGAGGATTGCTTGAGCCCAGGAGTCCATGGCTGCAGTGAGCTATGATCGTACCACTGTCCTACAGCGTCTGTGAAAAAGTGAGACCCTGCCTATACATAAATAAATACATATATAAAGAAAGAAAAATTTTTTTAGAAAGAACTGAATTATTTTCTCAAGATAGAAATTTGTAACATCAAGGTAATATTTTTGTTTTTATGGTTTCCTGTTACCACAAATATTAAAAAGTGAGCCATTCTGAGGCCTGAAGCAGTATCTGTAACCTTGGTTTATAGAGTGCTAATTAAGTCAAGCACCAAGAAGCCCTAGCATGAGTGATGGACAAAGCCATTCACAGAAAAGATGCAGCCTTTGCCTTTCTCAAAGTTCAGTTTGTCTGGGAAATACATGTAAAAATTATTATCTGGAGTGGTAAATATAATAAGAGATACATAAATGGAACTACAGGAGTAGCAAGACAAGTTTTACCAGACAGGGAAGACAGAGAAAAGCACTCCAAGCAGAAGAAAATGTACAAGCAAAGGCAAGAAAGTGTGACTATGCATAGGATGTCAAGGATAAAAATGAACTTTGTAATTTAGAAAATGCAAATATCCACTATGATATTTGGGATTGTCACATGAAAATTTTACTGTTACTTTGTAAAGGTCATGTTTATTTATCAAACAAGAGGGTTTTGGTATTTGTTATTTGGTTTGTTTCTTGGTTTGTTATTTGTTTTTTGGTTTTTGTTTGTTTGCTTGGTTGCAAAGATCGGGTCTTGCTATGTTTCCCAGGCTGATCTTGAACTCCTGGACTCAAGTGATCCTCCCAACTCAGCCTCCCAAAGTCCTGGAATTTAAGCATGAGCCAATGTGCCTGACCTAGGAGTTATTTTTATTGCCAATCTATATTACTCACTTTTGACATCAGAACAAGAAAGGAAATTATGCTCAATACAGCAGACTGCTGCCCAGTATTTCCTCATTAATGAGCTAGACTACTTACATTACTAGTATAGATCAGAATTTCTAGGTATAAAACCTCTAAATAACTCCAAAAGTCATTTTTCAGGATTTTCTTTTCATTTGAACTACAACAGTAAATGTCCAGTCTGTACAGGGACCCCAAACACCAATAGCAAAAGTTTCATTGAAGAAACATAAACATCAATTCTTAAAAAAAAAAATGAAACACAGCTACATTCCTCTAATTTCCATCTTACCCAGACTAGTGGCAAAGAGGATCGTCCTCCGAAAAACCCAGGATATTCTTAACTAACCAGAGTGATGGATAATCAAGCATAAATAGTTAAAATTTTTAGATAGATAATGCTCACAGTATAATTTTACTCAAATGTTTCAACTCTCTACTTCAAAAAACCTTTTATAATCACTACACTTGCTGAAAACTTAATACTTTGAATTTATTCTCTATTGCTTAATTATTTAATCAAAGTGCTTGAAAGCTACAGGCTACAGAAACAGTTATCAAAATGGAGGGATAACATACAGGAGATTCTAAAGGAGGGAAATATCTTTAAGTTGGAGTATTAGCCCCCGAAGAACTGAGATTAGATAGAAGTCAATATCCATATTCAATCTGAACAGAAATGCTCTTTCACCAAAACACGAGGTTACAGATTTTTTGAGTCCTACTGTAATAATATCACTTTTCCACATTCCTTCATCATCTTGCCCCACGCTTCCCCTCCCGGAAGAAAGCTAAACAAACCTAGATGGTTTTACTTACAATTGTGAAGTTCATGACTTTGAGAATCCAGATGGTCATGGCCAAGTTCACCAGTATTAAAATCATGAGGAGCAGGACAAAGAAATACAGGCATCGTTTCCGCCAGCCATAAATCCCCACCTTGTATACCTGTGGCCCCACAGAGCCAGGCATGGTGCTCCGGTGGTGAGTGTACTGCTCCTGAGGCATCTGAAATAAACGAGGCAAGAGAGAAGCACTCACATTAAACCGCTGAGAGAAGAGAAAAAAAATAAAGGAAAAAAAAATCAACTGATGAAGAGATATGGCTGGCTGCTGTCTACTTTTATACCCTCTGACAACTCTAAAAATCTGTTTCCTCTGGACAAAAGTGACTTCTCTGGATGCTAGCTTGAGGCTTCTCATTTAACACAGCCATGACTTCTGATGTGCACTGATACAGCCACAGTCACACACATAATGGGTGGAAAGGGACTCCTAGGAGGCCATTTTCCAAATGACTCAGAATTCCAACATCTTTGTGGGGGAGATGCTCAAAGATCTACCAAACCGAAGGAAAAATTTAGAATTACTGAAGAAAATAAGGTAACCCCAGCAGTTCACCTTAGTAATATAAAAATATTATTCAGGCAATTTATTTGGGGGGGTGGTTAAAAAATTTTGAACACTATCATTCTGTATTGCCAGTCAGTGGCAACCGTGGCAGCTTTGACTGCTCCTCTATTTCAGATTTAAAAGGGGGGTCCTTACAGACACACAGCTGGAACCCCACTTGATTTGGGAATCTTCAGCAAGTGATAGTCTAGTAAATACCTAACTACCCCCTGAGTTAGTCTTTGTGAGTTAGGCAATTCTAACCGTTATCAGGCAACTTATTTAAGAAACATAAAGGAGGGTCAAAGTCAAGTAAAATGTGAACATTAGCTCGTAGGCTAATGAGAGGATGAACTAGTTAAATGCTAAGCACAGTAGAGAGAGAGAAATTAGAAAAGGATTTGTCAATATATTATAAAGTAATACGTTGATGCCCTTTAGAATAAGGAAGGTTTTCCAAGTCCCTGCTGTTGACACAAATTATCTTTATACTAGAATTACTAATTGTCAACACAAATGTAGGTAAACATATCACTTCTATCCAATTCTAAAACCAAAACAAATTTTAAAATTAAATATAAATAAAGCTAGAAAATGCCTATCACTCAAACTGGAAAATAACAAAGTACTACAAAGGATGATTTGCCTTAAACTAAATCATATGAATGTGGTACCAAGGTCTCTGGCACAAGGTCTCCTGAGCACAGCATCTCTACTCTGTCATAAGCCATGTGATAACAGGACCCCCACTGCCTATCTCCATTCAGATAATGGTACAGCCCTTATTTTTACTTCATTTGGCTGTCATGTAGACACACTGCATTCCCTACAAATAAGACCTACTCCATTTATTTTCTTCTCAGCCAATAGCAATAAATTAGTAATATGTGGTGCCAAAGTGGCCATAATGAAAACCAAAATGCAGGCCCTAAAATCACATCCTTGGTTATTAGGATATCTTCCAGATGGTTCACAATATGATTTTTTTTTTTGGTTTTTAGATAATCATTAAAATGGACACATAAAATCTAAAAATCCCCTAGAGAACTCATGGCCGTTAGGCATCAGTGGAATTCCATTTGAAAAACTGAGTGAATTCTTCCTTATGGCTAACTGAAATGCTCCATGAAGGCCTACATGGCATCTGTCTCATTCCAAACACATACCCTAGTGCCGAAATCAGTACCTAGTATATGTTGGAATATGTGTGTGGAATGATTGAATGGAAAACAGAATGCATAAATGATGACCCAATGAATGATTTCCCATCTGCTACCAGCTCTGCTGCTGTCTGGGGGTATGTAAAGGTTTAAGCTAAATACCATGGGCAAGTTCTTGTTTGTATACTTGCAAATTTTCACTTCAGGCTCCCAAAGCACTGGGTTCCCAGCCAGGCAGTGAGATTTGTGGTGTAAGAGGATCTCAGTTTTAAATCTCAGCTTCTGATAATTCCTCTGCAGATCAGGGATGTGTTATAAGAAGACGGGAACACAACAAAGTCATCAATCACTGGCCTTTTTAAACATGAAGATCAAATAAAAGTAAAAATAATGCTTTATAAGCCTGAAATAAATTAGGTTTTTATTTTCCATCAGATCATATTCTATGAAATAAGAAAATGATCACAGAATCTTAGAATCACGTGTGCAATTTCCTTTGATATTAATCAACTAATTGTGAATGAGCCAAATTAGGATTAGAGAAGTTAACCTGCTTGTGCAGGGCTAAAGGATTTGTGGCAGGGTAAGGTCTTGAACAATAATCTGGAATTGTCATAGGCAAGATAAACAGTGAGAAATTCTTTACAAATAAGTGTGCAGAAGCTGGTGATATTGCCACTATATCAGTTGCCTTTTCTCTGTCATTCAACCCAATCGATGGTGTCATTACATAAACGTAGCTATAAAATGGAAATGACATGTTCAATAAATGTTTATAAGAGGATGGAGGTATAGGTAGCATGCTTGTGATTTCTTGTTTTCATACACATACTGGTAGAACTTGGCAGAATGCAGTGATTCTCTTGACTAAGGGTTCTCAGCCCTGGATGCACATCAGAGTTACTGATGGAGCTGTTAAAAACATTTGTACTCAGCCGGGCATGGTGGCTCACACCTGTAATCCCAGCACTTTGGGATGCCAAGGAAGGGGGATCTCTTGAGGTCAGGAGTTTCAGACCAGCCTGGCCAACATGGTAAAACTCCATTTCTACTAAAAATACAAAAATTAGCTGGGCATGGTGGCAGGTGCCTGTAATCCCAGTTACTTGGGAGGCTGAGGCAGGGAGAATTGCTTGAACCCGGGAGGCGGAGGTTGCAGTGAGCCAAGATTGCACCATTGCACTCCAGCCTGGGCAACAGAGTGAAGACTTCGTCTCAAAAAATAAATAAGTAAATAAAATTTTAAAAACACACATCTGTACTCAGGTTAAGTAACAATCACAGAGGTAGCACCCAGGCATCAGTATTTATTAAAGCTTCCCAGATAATTCTAAGAGTAGACAGGATTACATGCCATTGGTCTAGAATAATGCCACTCAACCCTAATTATGCACCGAAACACAAAAGAAACTGAACAAATATAGTACAAATTTTGAGCTCCATTTTCAGAATCTGGAGCTCAGGGTGGAACATTGTGAAAAATCTCCCAGATGATTCTAAGCATTTGGGACAACATCTAAAAAATGGCTTTCACTTTTTTTCATAGGGTAATCATTGTAAGACAAAGTCTTGCAAGAAACTCTAGTGTGTAAAATAGCAAAAAAATAAAATAAAATAAAATAAAAAATAAAAAAAGTGGAGTTCCTCTGCTTAAAGCAGGGTCTGGCTACCTTTGAGGCATCTCTGCAGAATCCTTTGCTCCTGGGAACTACTAATTTTGTCCAAGACAAAATTGACCAGCTGTGGAAGTCAAGACCAGGAGGAAGCAGCTCCTTTTCAAGTCACACAGCAAATTAGAAGCTGAGCAGGAATTATAACTTGGATCTTTTGCTGCATCGTATAGTGGCTTATTGCATGTCATCTCCACCACACCCTCTTTAATGAGTCCCATGAAACAGAATACTCCAGTCTCCAACTCATTAAAATACATAAGAAAGAAACAGTGAAGGGGATGAGCACTTTTTGACAAATAATTATAAAAGGAGGCCTTTCCATGCAAACATATGGTAATGGATACATCTGTTATAAAGAATCCTGCATGGAAAGGGAAATTTAGATATGCTGAGTACGTTCATTTTTCTAATCAAAAATTAAAACATGTTGAAAGATAAAAACAAAGATGAATGACAATCTCCAATCTATCATTCTTCTTATTCCTTCCCGGAACAAATGTACTGCCCGGGGAATTGAAGTTAAAACGTTAATTCCTCACTTGGGCAGACCCCAGGCCTTTGAAGACCCCAGGAGAGGCCCCAGTAAATCATGACAATAGTCATACAATTTTATAACATTTTTAAAAGATGTTTTAACTGCAACTCGCTAAACCCTATCTTTTTCTATTCTGACTTCCCCTCGTGTTAGCTCTGGAGGATTTACATGCATTTTGGAGATCTAAGAAGAAGTTGGCTTAGTGGTTCCTATAGTTTGAATGCAGAATATATTTATATGGTTTGCAGCACTTCCCAGTAGAGGTACATTACTGCTAGCTCTCCTGGTATAGGAATGTCTTCTAGGAATACTCCTTCCACCCATAGCTCCAATTCACCAAGCATGGTGACATGAAGGAAGAGGACCAAAGGACACGATGCGATATAAACACGACCTACAATGGTCAGCACCAGAAATACATGGGTAGTAGAAAAGACAGAAGCTAGTCAAAAGTTTATTTGATAATCATGAGATATGTAAAATGTCAAATGTAGAATTCAACTGTCATTGATGCCTCATCAAAACAAATGCTCTACTGTCAATAATACATTGTACATTGAATTTGGCATATATAATCATAAATGTTCCATATGTGTTTTATTTTGTATGAGAATTGTGGAAAATATAATTAACCAGAATACTTGGGTTTGTAGGTTATGTATACCATGTGTAACTTTGTGTAAAGTTGTGTGCATTCTACATTACAACCATCAATATTTAAAAAGTTTTGTCAAAATTGCCATAAAAATAATTATCTTTCCATTGTCCATACAGAAAGTGATAATGGCATATAGCTGTCATATGAAGAGACAATTAAAGGCTATACAACCAGAAAGTACAGAAAATGTATGTGAGGCAGTTAATTATTAGCAATATTATCCTTCCTGATTTTGTGATGTCATCTTTTAAAAATTAATAATTTAATTTCCTTTCTCATTCTAAGTATATATTCATGTTGTTAACTTGTTTGTATTCCTAATATTTTTAGTTTTTTCTTATCCCAATTGTTTTTAGCAGTAAGGTATTTTTAAGTTATGGTATGTACTTTTAGATATAATGCTATTGCACAATAGAATACTACAGTATAAACATAAACTTTATCTGCACTGTGAAACCCAAACATTTATGTGATTCACTTTATTGTCATGTTTGTTTTAATGGAAATAAAGCAAATGCATTTTTTAGCAAAACATTTGTTCAATGAATGAATGAGTGTACATTTGTTCAATGAATGAATAAATGAATAAAAATCAAGCCAACGTTAAACAGTAAAGTATATTCTCTAGTAATAAGTAACTAGCTATATCAGAAGAAGTAAAAACTTATACAACTTTGTTTTTCCAAAGGCACATACAATTATACCAATGCTAAGCAGGCTTAAATCCAAAGCATTACTTCGTCATAAAACTATTTTCAATGTTGACCTGTTCATAAACAAATCCACTTGACTTAAGGATCATCTGTTTCTTGCACACAAAATGTAAGAGGATTATATTTCCCAAAGAGTGAATACAGTAAAACTTTCTGTTGTTTTGCCATTAGATGGGAAGAAACTACCAAAAGACAAGACAATGCTATCATATAATATAACCACCTGTAATCATTAATTAATTAAATAGTGGTCAAATATTTTAGATGTAGAGTTTCCCAAGAAGGTCATTCTGAATGGTCATATTACTAAAGCATGTTTTGGAGAGCTGTAACCTCATGGTCTCAGGCATTCAAATGTTCCTACCTGGGACTGCAAATGTTCCTAACTGGGATTGCATAGCATTAGAGTCAAGACTTGATATTAATTTAATCTAGCAATCTCAAGAGTTGACTTGGACTTGGGCTTGTGAAGTCAAGGATCGACTTGGACTTGGACTTGTGAAGAACCTCCTTTGAGGCTGTGTGGCCCTGTGTAACTTCTACCACTTCAACCACCACCAACACCTCAGTGACTCTGTGATGACCATGCAGCCACCTCCAGTAGCCTCATCAGGGCTCAACACCAGTCTGAGAAGCCTGCTAACTTTATGCAAATCCTACCCACTGTGAAGTTGTCACCGAGATCTTTGAACCAGGCCCAACCTACATGATACCTGGACCTAGCCATTGTCCATCTAATTAAGGAAGCTACGTGAGCTTCAAAGTGATAAGTCTGCCATTTTCGACAGATCTTTAATATCTTAACAGAGAAACTGCTCTGATTAGACTCAGATGGTCATTAATTTTATACCATGCTGACTTTCCTTCCTACACTTGGTAGGAATCAAATGGCTACTGTGAAAATCTCTTATTGCTCCTCTTCTTACAGGTCATTGAGAAGACATAGGGATGAAAAAGGGTCATGGGTCAGGAGCATCCACAGCTGGTCCGCTTTGTGAGGCTAAGCACATATTCTAGTCTAATACCGTTGAAGTGGTCACTTTTTGTTTGCATCTTTGTTCCCACAGGGCTGTTCTTCAGGAGAAGAACAAATGTTTTCCTTTTTTGCCCCCTGGAAATAGTTACAGTATCTACATTACCAATTTGCTGTGCAAAAATGCATTATGTTTTCAGGGATGATTTGTAAACAAACAAACAAAAAACCCAGTGAACTTCCTAAAAACACATCAATGCCATCAAGTTTCCTAATGATCTTTCTTTTGGGCCTGTAAAATTGTATGGGCCATGATCAACTCTACCATAAGGCAGAGCTGAGAAAAAGAAGGGGCATTGACAGGCATTTTACTAACGTTTGACTCTGCTCCCCACTAGGCTTCTTCATAATCTCTTGTTCCATAAAGGAATTTATGGGGGTAGGTGCTGTGAGTGCAGTTCTCTGTTCAGTTATGCACTGTCAGGGAGAGACATGGCAAAGTACAGAGTTGACTTACAAAAAAAATTCCAATCCCAATCTATTTTTCAACAGTAAAATATTTATATATTTTGACATCTACTATATATGTCAGTAGGTCCTAGAGATAAAGGCCTTCAAAAGGATGAAAATGATCATATTCTGCTTTCATCAAGCTCATATTTTAATGAGAGATGGACAATAAACAATAATGGACAATAATGAAACCCCTAGAACTAAAGTTAGGTGCTAGGAAGAACGAAGAGGTACCTGTAATAGAGAATAGAAGGTGAACCACTCTGGTCATGGAAGGTCATTCTGATAAGGAGACAATTAAGATGATACTTGGGAGTGGGGGCAAGCTTTTCAGCAGAAGGCAGAGCAAGCACTACGGCCTGAAGAACTGAAGCTCAAGAGTTGGATTGAATGAGCTCAGAGGAGAGGGTGAGAGGTGAGTTTGTAGAAAGAGGTGGGGCACCTCCTAGGTTCTAACGAGTAGAGAAAAATACAGCAAGACTGATGGCTACATTAGCTAATTTAAGAATAAGACAAGTGATACAAATCAAGTAAGTTTTTATTTTTCTTGGTGATGCTACAGGTTAAAATTGGGTGAATTTAAAAGTAAACATGAATTATGTAACTATGAGATTGTAACCAGTTTATATAAATAGGAGGCATAGGTTCCCTCAAAGGCTCATTACAGTTTCTAGAGTTTGTTGTGGAATCTAAGCCATTTTGAATCATCCTGGTACAGAAATAGAAATCCATTAGCCATATTAGTTTTTAGGTAAAACTGTTTGCTTTCAAGGTTTGTTTTTTAGTCAGCCATCCATACCAGGCATTAGTCTGGGATCACAAATATTTGGCACAATTTAGACAATGGTAAAAAATTCATCACTTTTAGTTTTGATGTAACAACATTTGCTTCTTACAAAATTCATCCAGAAAAGTAAGCACCTATTTATGTGAACTAGCCCAGGAATGGCAGTTTCTTTTTAAACAAATATTCAGATTAACTTAATAGTTATATATTCCAATTCTTAGCTAAAATATGTAATACCAAAGTGTTGAAAAACTTTTACCGAAAACAAATTCAACAAGTGCATATATTTAAAAGAATCAAAGAACATGCAGTTAAACAATTCTCTCATTCATACCTTCAGCCTCCCCACACTGAGGCAACCAGTGTTATCAGCTTATTTTTTATCCTTACAGAAATGTTTAATACATATTCAGGCTTTATTCAATATAGATGTTCAGTGCATATGCACACTTATATTTTTTTTACACAAACAAGAGCATATTTTACATAATGCTCTAAATCTAACTTGGTCCACTTAACATAACTGATAGTCCCATAAAAACATAAAATTAAAAAAAAATAGCTAGACTGTTTTAAATGGTATGGATCTATGATATTTAACTTAACCAGCTCAGAGACAAATAGCGAGGAGGTTGTTTCCAGTCATTTTTGTTACCTATCATAATGAAAATGTAACTTTTTCTACTTGTTCTTGGAAATCAGTCTTATGAAGAAAACACAGAAGCAGCAGAAGGGAACAGTGCTGAGGTGTTAAGGAGTTCCTGTTTAAGAGATGGTTAAGCCTGACCATCCCAGAGAGATCTGAGAACGAAACACAAAGAAGCAAGAGAGTAAAGCATGAGGATATCTGGGGAAATATTTCAGTCAGAGGAAACTGGACAAGCAAGTGCAAAGGCCCTGAGGCAGGAGCTCGCTTGGCAGGTGAGGAGGACAGTGTGGCTAGATCAGAGTGCACCGGAGGAGAATGTTTGAAAATTAGCTTGGGCACAGGCAGAAGGGGAAAGAAGCAGGAGCTCAGAGCCACAGTAAAAACCTCAGGTATGATACAGAAAGCAACAGTAACCACTGCAGAACCTAGGCATGGAAATGGGATGATCAGATTTTCACTTCAGGATCACTCTAGTGTTCTCTAGGAAATGGGTTGTAGGAGCGAGAATGGAAGTGTGGAGAACAGGTGCCCGCGACTACTGCAATCGTCTTCAGAGAGGTGGCAGTGGCCCAGGCCTATAGACAGGTGGGTGAGAAGCTGGGGAGTTGCTGTATCTGGAATCTTGTGGGAAAGCAGAGCTAACAGGATTCTCTGTGGCTTGAGACATGGGGCGTCAAAAAGGACAGGAGTCAAGGAGAACCCCAAGGTTTCAGCATAAGCAGCCAGTTGCACAAGGGTACCCCACAGGGAACAGCGTGAGGATAGAAGGCTTGGAGGGCAGGAGGGGGATGGAGTGTGCAGGGGAATGATAGGGGAAGAGACAGGCGTGTTAATGTTGAAGGCACATGAGATTCCAAAGAGATGGTAAGAGGTAGTGAGATAAGGAGACAGATAAACAAGAACACTATGATGGCACTTGGAAACGAATCTGGACTTCAAGGGGAAGGAAGACTGGGCTTCGGGACATGAATCTTTAAGACTCCAGGATATGAGTATTATTGAAAGCCATAGACATAGAGCAGACATGTTTCACATAGGTCCAAATATACCTCTCAGGCAAGTCCTGAGAAACCAGATTGCCAGGTCAAAGTGTATCTGTACAGTTTTTAAATAAATATTATCAAGGTGCCCCACAAATTGTAATATACCTTGTATTTAAGTTTAAAATATTTATCTCTGATGAACCAGAAGATATTTCAGCATTGATGAACATCAATTCTTTCCATCCTAGAGATGCAGATGTATGAGGTACTAGTTGAGGTGCTTTCAGGCAGATACATTTGTGAAACACACATGCATATTTCTACCAGGAATTAGCAGATACACAAGTGCATACATTCCTGCAACACTATGGGAGATCGATATAATTAAAACCATTTCATAAATGAAGAAACTGAGGTCCTAAGGAATTCAGGAGTATTCTCAAAGACCCCTAACTAGTAACTTGGTTAGGGTCTGAACTTAAACTCAGGCCGGGTTTTCTCTCCATTACTCACAGGCTGAGGCAAAGACTTAACTTTTCCTGAATACAAAGTAAGGTATTTAGAATTATCATAGACGTATATTCAGTGTGAAATGCATTTGAAACACTGCCACCACCTGCAAATATGTGCCATCCTTCAGTTCCTCCCCTGACGCTGTTCAAGGCATCTGGGATATATCAATGAGCAACAACAAAGAGCTCTGATCTCACAGCGGTGGAAAGAGGTAGTGATGGGGAGACAGATAATAAACATAAACACCAGCGAATATTATATTTATGTCACAAGGAGATGAATGCTATGAGGAAAAGTCCCACCTCCTAAAAAAAAGCCAAAAAAAAAAAAAAAAAAAAGAAAATAGACCAGCAGTACCAGGGGCTGGGGAATACAGCAGGCTCAATATTTAAAAGCATGGGAAAGGTTGACCTCATGGAAAAGGCTATAGTTGAACAAAGACTTGACGGCATTGCAAGAATTGTTGAAGATTTGGCTCTATATAAAACTAGCCTGGTCCTTGATGTTGCAAGGTGAGGACCAGAAAAGAATATGTGAACTGAATGCCCTTGGGCAGCAAAAATAATTTCAAACATCTGATCGCAGATTTAATGGTGTCATTTTCACATGCAAAGGATGCTGTATCTACCCCATCATGGCCACTTCTATGGTTAGCTTTCCTAATAGTAGTGGCAGATACTCTTAGCAAACCAGCTACTTTGTGTTGTACAAGATCGGTGCTTTCTAAAACCCCATGGATGATTCCCACCAGAACCAGATAATGACAATAGGAGTCAAGCTACTACAGCTCTTCTGTGACTTGGGGACCAAGCTGTGTAATAAAATAATAATGAACATGACTCAAACACTTGAGATCAGAGTGACACACAAGGCCTAAAGGGAACATGGACAATATAAAATCCAAATCCTTATTTAACAGACAATAAAACAAGGTTCAGGGAGGTGAAGTGACTTAATCAACGTCACAGAGTAAGGCAGTAAAAAAAAACCAAAGTCAGCTAAACTGAAAACCAGTATGTTTCCCATAAATTCTAGGTTTCTGTCTTTTCCGCTTGAACTCCTGGTTTCACATTACTTTCACCAACCATCTACACACAGATTTTGAGCAATACTTAGAGACAAATAGCAAAAAAAAAAAAAAAAAAAAAAAAAAAAAAAAAAAAATCACTTTTCTAACATAAAGAAAGCACACATAAATGACAAACACTTGTATAATGGTACTATGTACTAGCCATTGTTCTACATGTATTTAATCCTCACAGACATATAATTAGTACCTGCCTCACAATCATTTCTATTTTACAGTTGAGCCAATGAGAAAGAGTGGTTAAGTAATCTACCCCAAATCTCTTTGCTTGTTAAAGGCATAGCAAGCATTTGAATCCAGAGTGTTTGGCTGGAAAACCTGTTCTCTCATTTCTTATATTAAATGCTTCTAGATATATGTGAATAATTGATTATAACAATGTGATTACTAATAAAAACAATATTTTTGTGATTGTATTAGCTAGAAGTTCTTAATATGGATATTAATTTTAAGACATATTATTGAATACCTATTGAGTGACTACTGTATTCCAGCCAGAGTGAAAGTTACTCTAAGTATAGGCATTTTGTCCCAGGTAATAAACCATCTTTGATATGTCTCTAAAACCTATAAATTTTTACAGCATCATGAAAAGCAGCTACAACAAATTAGGCACATCCTTCTATAGTGATTCAATAGTTTCATAAAATTAGAATTGATCCAGTAGATTCTCCCTTGACAATTGTGTTTGGCAAGAATCTTTAGCTATTACCTGCGCTCTCAAATGCTTGCAATGAAACCTGTGGTAGGAAAGGAAATGCTCATCTCGTTTTTGGTCATTTTACATATTTTTTAAATCAAAGTTTCTAGAAACAAGTATGATAAAAATAGCTAAACAGCATGCATTTTTCTAAGCACTTTGCATGCTTTCATGTAGATATGTATATATGTATGTACATCTATTGAGGAATAATTTACTTCTAGTAAAACAAACAGATATTAGCTACATAGCCCAATGAGTTTTACAAATCTGAACATCTTTGGGAACAATATTCAAACAGGAGAGGGAACATTTCTATCACCCGAGAAAATTCTCTTATTACTCCTCTTAATCAATTCCCTTCCCCAGAGATTGTGAGTATTCTGATATCTATCACATTTAATGTTTTCAGTCTTAGCTATAATCCGATGAGGTGGTTCTAATTTTGAGGTCTGGATTCTTGGCCACCATACTGTCCTCCTGCGACTCTGCTCAACAGAGACTTAGACCATCTCAACAGTGTTCTCTGAGAGAATGAAGCCACAACTTAATTATGCCCTAACTTCTCTCCTATGTGTCTAGAATATGCACCACCCTTGAGAGAACAGAGAACATGGTCACTCAAATAACCGTCTGCTTTCTTTGGTTCAGTTGAGAAACTCTAGAAAAATAGAGCAGACAAATGTAAACATGTACAGGTCAGATAGCGGGGTCAATGAATGAGGTAGGCATATGCCCTCTCAAAAGGACAGGAGCTGACCACAGGCCACCAGCCACTGTGCCCAAGAAATTACATAGGGAATGCCCATCTTCAGCTTTTTCTAGAAGATCAACATTATGATATCTTAAGATGTTTAAATATTTCATAAGTCAATTAAAACAAACAAACAAAAAAACACTTTGTGAACCAAAATGTACCTATAGTCCAAGCCTTTGGGTTGCCGGTTTATGACCTGCTGTTTGTATCAGCAGCCTGGTAACATCAGAGGGGTGGGGACGCAAACTTTTGAAGGTCTCAGCCAATGCTAGGAGTTAATCTTTCTCACTACCTGGTAAAAATTATGCTGTCCAGACACTGGCCTATTACCAATATTCCTGACCCCTGAGGGAAGCAGATAAGGACTTTGGTAAGCACACACTGAACAAATAACAAAGAGAAAAGAAACTTGCAAGGGTGAATGGAACCCAATAAAGAAAGAGCGAAAGGGCTAGAAAGATTATAGAATAAGAGAGAGGAGAGAAGTCAACCATAGGTAACGATAGGAATGAAAGGAACACAGCGTGGCTCTGTTCCCCGCTGTCCTTATCCTGGAACAATTTTCTTTCATTGAATACACAGTGCCAATATCACAACCCCAATGAGGGTTAGTACAAGATTTTGTCGAATGATTCGTTCGGAGAGAGGAGCTTACCCTGGTATTTATTTACTCTGAACTCAATGAATAGTTTCAGTGGCTGAATATGTCAACTCCAGCAAGTAACAGCAGGGTTTCCAGGCATTCACAATATATTATTTGGAAGTCAAGGTGCTCACAAGACAGTCTGATCCTATCACTCTGGCAAGGAAAAGTGGTCTGAGCAAGGAGGGAGTTTCTAATCCCTGGCAATATAGTTTTTATCAGGGAATTGTGCTTGCTCTAATAGGTGCCATTGCTTTATCAGTGAAAAAGAAGAATAAAGTGATTGCATCCATATCCTCCTACACATCCTGAGCTCCATTAATACAACCACCAACAAAGCTTTCTGAGCAAACCAATCTCACAGGATTTATATACTAAGTGAACCACGGTGACATGTTCCTCCCCAGTCCTACAGACCTGTCTGAGAGGCAGGTCAGAGGCTACAGCTTACATGGTTTCCTTTGTATGAGGCAGTTCACACTCTGCAATAGGAATTTGAAACAATAATGAAGACCTTTCTGTGTGGCAAGAAAAGTGAAACAAAGGGAAATGTGGAATTTCTAGAGAAATTTGGGCAACACAGGAAAAGTAACCCAGATAATTCAGAGTAAAACATCCTTTCCTTTGCTGATTGTTTGAACTCTTTGTTTTACCTTGCTCTACCTTTTTCACTCTTTGTTGATTTGCCTGGTGCTATCTCAGTTCATCTTAACTATATGTATTAATATATTTGACATATTTAAGTGCTTACTGTGTGCAAAAGACAATGCTAAGTGCATTATCTGTACAATCTCACAACACACTATTAGGCAGATACTTTTGTCTTGTCCATTTTAGAGATTAGGAAATTGGGACACATTTTGGAGATGATGTAACTTGCCTATGGCCACACAGCCAGGACCCCAGTCTTCGTTTGAGGCAGACCCTGAGCTCAGTTCACAATATAACCACTTTTCTTCCACAGCAAGATGATACCACCTTCCATTTTTTTCTTTCTTGCTGTGCTTCCTCTCCCTACAATCACCCTCTTCCTTTTCGGTTAACACATGTATGAAGTCCTCACCATGGAATGTGCATTGTTCAGATGACTAAGTTGAGCTCAAGGAGCCATAGTTTTTGTCAGGAGAAGGCTCACTGAAATATGTTCAAAGAAGAGTAAAGAAAGAGTGCAGGAAAAGATGGAGAAATGGGTGAAATGACTCAAGACACCCAGCCTTAAGGGAGACAGACTAAGAGTTATTCTTAAAGAAAAGGAAGAGCCTCAGGATTACAAAAATCATAGGTTGTGAAAACAGAAAACAATTCAGAGGTATCAGATCATCTTACAGATAGGAAACCTGAGATCTGAAGATGAATGGAGCCAGGACCTGACCTAAGATTTCTGACCACCTCTACCTTTCCTCCCTCTCTCAACCCCACTTCTGCCCCCAGTACCAGCACGTTCGTCAGACGTGGCTTAGGAAACTATCCAAGATGCTTGAAACCAGAAGTGTTTCTGACTTCAGATTTTTTTGGATTTTTGGAATATTTGCATTATACTTACCATTCAGCATTCCAAATCTGAAAATCCGAAATCAGAAACGTTCCAATAAATAATTCCTTTGAGCATCATGTCAGTGCTCAAAAAGTTTCAAATTTTGAAACATTTCAGAGTTCAGATTTTTGGATTTGGGAAGCTCAACACATGTACAACCAACGATGTAGTATGTGCCCTTGGAGATTTTTTTTTTTTTTTTTTTTTTTTGAGACTGAATCTTGCTCTGTCGCCCAGGCTGGAGTGCAGTGGCGCCATCTTGGCTCACTGCAAGCTCCACCTTCCGGGTTCACGCCATTCTCCTGCATCAGCCTCCCGAGTAGCTGGGACTACGGGCGCCCACCACCATGTCCGGCTAATTTTTGGTATTTTTAGTATAGATGGGATTTCACCGTGTTAGCCAGGATGGTCTCCATCTCCTGACCTCGTGATCCACCTGCCTCGGCCTCCCAAAGTGCTGGGATTACAGGCGTGAGCCACCGTGCCTGGCCTGCAGATTTTTTAAAATAAAAAAGTAAAATTAAAGAAATGTCTTCATCAGGATAAGGCATATATAACACTTTGTTCTCTTTTTCAAAAGTTTATGTTAATAATAAAATGACCATGAGCAGGGCCTTGAACAAGCTTCGCTCCCGGGAATTACTCACCATCTCCACCTGGTCCCTTCACTCAACACTCCCGGCAGTAATGTCTCTGCAAGGAACAAATATGGGTTAAAAATAAGGTCTGAAGAGCCTGCCCCCTCCTTGCCTAGGAAATCTGAACCCTCAGGCAATGCCATTCTTACAAAATGTGCTTTCTGATTACTTCCAGAAGGCAGGGCAGGCTGACCATGCAGTCTCCTGTGGTGAAGTGGCTAAAACAATTCTCTTCACCAAGGCCACTGAGTATCTGCACACCTCCAGTCCAACAAATCAGTGCCTGGTGGCTTTGGCTATTTCTAATACATGTGTTTCATTCCTGTGCCAAGGGCTCCTCCCTCCACCCTCACTGCCCAGTTTGTGTTGTGGCCATTCCTCTCCCTTCACTGCCTCCACCTCTGTCCTGGATTTCTTCCTCTGTATCCTTCCCCCTTCCGCTGCTTACTTTTTCTCTTCAGATGTCAAGAGAGCTTGACTTCTCCCTACTTTACTTCTAAAAAAGAGAGAAACTATAGAGTTTCTACCAAGTTTCAAGCACTGCTCTTTATAATCCTGCAACCTGGAGTTGCTATTTCACGCCTCTTCTGCTCAATGCTTGACGCACGCTAAATATAGAGGAGTATGACACCCGAGCTCATGGAAGGCTCCCTTTTTCATTGGCAGTGGGCTTGACTACGGTTCATGCCAGTTCCTAATCTGTCTTGGCATTTTTCTCACTCATTAGGCACTTTAGAGAAAAAAATAAGGTCACAGTCCATCCTGACTTCTAACTACACCCCCTTCCTTTCCTCAAGCCCTGCAGTCCCCAAACCCTCCCCACACCACCCCAACACGAAGATGAAACTAATAAAGAAAATGTTCATGAACCATCTCTTAAAGATATCCTGCTGCCAGTCCTGTCCCAGGTCCCTCCTCCAAGTACAACACTTGGAAGAAAAAAGAAAATCGCTGGCTGAAAATCCTGACCTTCTACCAACAGGACAGAATGTGTGCCTTCTCATTCTAGGTCTTATGCAGAGGAAGCAATGAGAAATGCTGGCTCTCCACTTTTCTTTCAGCATTAACTTCAGGCTCTTCTATTAGCTACTTGTTTAAAGATTGTAGGACACAAGTAAATGCACACCTGTTGTCACAGAGATCCACCCTAAGAGGTCTAGTCACTCTTCAGCTACTCAAGAAGTATCCAAGATTCCATTCATTCATCCATCTCCCCAACCAGACTTTTGGCCAAGCCCCGTTCGGAAAAAACCAATGTTGTCACAGATTGCTGTGCTAGTAATTGTAAAGCAGTTGTAAGGTTTAGCTCGGCTTTGGGCTGAACCAGTCTCTCAAATGCAATGACATTGTACTGTGTGTTTTCTAAATGCTGTACATAAAACAAGGTATAGCTTTCCTATGAGAGGAAAAAATCTATACTGCAATAGAGTTGATAAAGAAGAACCAAAACTGAAGAGGAACACTAAGATCCCTGTTGTGCTGAAAATTTTTAAAACTTTGATTTTTATAAAAAGCTCTTTTGCAGTAAGGTGTAAAATAAAACCAAGAGATCAATGAAATAAAATTCACACCATCATGTCTCTGTCCTTTAAGAAGAATTTTGAGTAAACTGCCATTTTCTGTTACTTTTTTATTATCTATGTTTCCTAAAATACAGAAGTGTTTTTTGAGAGTAAAACTGCAAATTACTTCAAGTGAGAAAATTGGAAATGATTATAGAAACAGAATTACAAATGTTGATCCAGCATAATTCTAGGCAAATATATCACTGACAGTCAAATCCCAGATAATGACAGTCAAACTCCTATATAAAAGATTTTAGAAACCCATACACACATATCTGTTTCGACACTCTGAAAGTGTCATCCAACGTAGAAACTTCAAACTCTGATTCCCTCCTAAAATGAGAGCCATTTTCTACTATTAAAAAACAACAACAACAAAAAACTCCCCATTAAAACTCTTGCGAAGTGAAGCAAAACACACAGACAGTTTCATCTGAAATTATCTTCCTTGCCAGTGAACGGCCCTTCCACGCAGAAAGGAAAAGTTACAGATGGTTGGAGCAGGGTGACAACATAAGGAATTCACATACTCCTCTTTACACAATAACGTTGCCAGCTAAATCCTAACTTTCAAAAGAAGTCTCTCTGCCCTGCTGAAAATCAGACCTTAAAGGGGGAAAAGCACAGATTGGAGCCCCATGCCAACTGTTTACATGACGGAGTTCTAACTTGCTAATTCACACACACACACATGCACACACTAAAAACTCGGAGTGCCTGCAAATACAGCAGGCAGATAGCTTAGAAAGTGAACAGACGCGTGCAAACGCAAGAACTGAACAGTACCCTACCTCTCTTGTCCGTTTCACAAACCGGCCGATGAAAACCGCCCGCGATCCCAGGGCGTGCTGAGCAGCTCTGAAGGAGGTGGCCACTCGGCCCGCTGAGTGTGTGCAGGCCCAGCCTGCGCTCAGAAGCTGCCCCAGTCAGATTTTCCAACTGCAGAACTGCAGCCAAGTCCCTGCCCATGCCTGAAGAATTTCCTGAACAGCATTCCCGTTCTTTTTCTGACTGCTTTGAAACCGTACTCCGTACTTCAATATGGCTTTGTCAGACCGACTCACAGCTACTGGGCTGTCTCCAGCTATCAATGGGAAACACATGTGTCAAGCACAGGCCGACTCCCCTGCAACAGCGCTCATGGTGTCTGCCGGGCTCATACTCACAACCAGAAAGAAAACTGCTTCTACAACCAATTCTGATTTTTCAGCCATTCTCCACACAGCCTCTGCTCTGTAGTGCTAGATGCTGGAGATAAGTCCTCTCTTTCTTCTGCTCAACACTGCTCCTTTTTCACTTGCTCCTTACACTTGAGTCCCCAGCTGACCCCTGTCAGCCCCCTGAGCTCTTGCCAGTCCTGATAACAAGCTTATTACAGCTGAGAGATGTAAATTCTAATTTGATCTCCCTACCTGCCGCTTCCTAAATCTTTGCTCAAAATTTCAATTGCTTGAGGGGGAGCAATATTTTTAGCATTTCCACACTGGTACAGTTCTTCGGAGCTGTCCCCTCAACCTGATATGTACATTTTTTGCTGCAGCAACTAAAAATAATGCAATTATTTTTCAGGCACTTTTGTTGCTCTCTGTTCTGCAACAGTGCTGGTCCAAAAATGTAACATTTTATAGGCTGTTGGAATGTGTGTTATGGTTATGGAAAATAGAAAAGAGAAAAGAATGTACTTTGAATCAGAATGCGTCCTAATTCTGTGCACCTGTGATTATTTCTGGATGACACTCCCTCAAGATGCCCTGTGTACATTCTGCTGGATTTGATGCTCTACCTTTGACATTTTCCCTTTCCATGCAACAAGAGGAAACCTCAAAACAGGAGGACACCCCTCTTCTCCCACACTGAAAAACCCCCATATCTAAAGAGCCAGAGCAAAGTTGTCAAGGTAACATTGTAGAAAAGAGGTGATTTAAAGAGAGAGGAGCATTTGTTTTGAACTGTTTCTTTTTTCTGTTTTTGGTATTAACATTTTACTTCCAAAAATCACACCCCATTGGCAACTTATTCTAAAGAACTGGCTTGCCAGATTTTAAGTGTTGTATGTTCTTGAGGGGATGTTGTAAGTAATAGGATTCGGTGGGGTCGTGAGTTTAGCATCAAATTACACTGGGCACTTTGAGCAGGATTAGATTTTCGCCTTGGGAAGCAGTGGGGTGGGAGGCGGTGTGGGGAGGTGTGTGTGCACATCTAAGGTCAAGATGCAATTACAGAATCAGATCTTTGGAGTTGGAGACACCCCAGAGATCATCCAATCCAAATTGTTTCCACCCTTCATTTTACAGAGGGAAGTAGAGGCCCAGACAAATGAGATGACTTGTCCAGGGTTTTAAAGACAGTTAATACCAGAGCTGAAGCTAGAAATGGGATTGGTGCTCTCTTTTTCTATCTGCTTTCTCTACTGCAGCATAATTTGGGAAGGTGATATCATCTAGCCTTCTAATCAGATAGCCTGGGTCTAATCTTAGCTCTGCATCTTACTGACTATAAACCCTGGTCAGCTTGCTTAACCTCTCTCGATCTGTTTCCTCATCTGTGAAATGGGAACCATAATAGAATCTACTGGTAGAATTGTTAAGGATTCAGTGAGATAATCTGTGTAAAGTGTTTATGACTGCCTATAAATACATTTCAGTTTACTTTTTTTTTTAATGGAGCAAAATGCAAACCTTTTCTCTAACCTAAAAGCCAAATTGTACTCTCCCATCTAGTGTGAGTTCTAGAATAAAGTATTTGAGTGGCTAGTTTTCTGCTGCTTTAACTTTATGTAATAGGGGCCTGTCACCTTAAACTTGGAGAACTGTCCTGAAGCCTTATTGGAACATTAAGCCAGCTATACCGCTACTTTCCATTTATTCCCTAAATATAACACTGAAGTCTTTCCTTGAGATTAACTCACAGAAAAGAAAAACAGTGAGATCAAATCTGCAGTCAGTTACATGAGGCTGAACAAAGTGTCATTCCAGAGAACTGGGCTTTATACCTTAAGAGCTCAAAATTATCATTCTATAAATAGAAGACTATTAACAATTACAATGTTCATGTTTGGAAATGGCAACGTCCTAAATTAACAATAATAGCAAAATAAAATCCCACAAGTTGAGGAAGAAATCTTTCAGAGAAAATAGCTGCTGCAAATTCTAAAGAATCAGACTTCTACGTGGGGTTCCACAGTCTTTGAGAGCCAGTGGTAGCAAATTGCTAATGAACCGCTTATTGTTTATTATTCACGTTTTATGCCCTGCTTCTTTTCAGGGAAAAAAAAAAAGAAGTTTTAAATAGTTGAAGAAGTTAATCTTGAATGTTCTGGTAATCAATTTAAAAAAAACTCAAGCTGATACTCAGCCCTAATCAAACAATGCTGATATGATTCACGAGACCCTGCCCTCATGTCTCCCCAAAGACTTGTTATGTGGCTCATTTCAATGTGGGCATCTGGAGAGATCTCAGTTTGAGACCCAGCTTTATAACTGCTAGCTAGAAAATCCTGAAAACATACTTAATTCTTCTAATGTTAAGAAATGTTATGCAAAACTTGAAAAATATAGCCAAAAGGTAGTCTTTTTTTTTTCAATATCATATGCGGGAATTGTTTCACAGGCCCTCTCAAGAAGTATTTAAGGGGAATGTCATTTGTTGAAGATAGTTTGCTATTGAAAAACATTTCCAGATTTATTACAGGTACATGTTAACTTGGAGACTTTTATCTGATAAAGATGCAAATAATTTCTTTCCAGTAGAGAAAATAACCTCAAATGTGATGATTTGTTGCCCTCCAGGACATTACCAGTCTTGTACCTAATGTAGTCTCTGCTAGCATCCCTTTGTTAACAAACCTATAAATAATGAGCTCCTCAAATGTTCTTGGAACCAGTCTTACCATCACACCAATTCCCCCACTAATTAAGGAGTCAAGTAAAATATCTGACATATCTGCTTTTCATATTTATATGTCATGTTTTTAACTTTTTAAAAAGTATAATTTGACAGTTTTATTCTTTCCACCTATATGAGTGTTATGAGGATTACGTGAAATAATGTGTGATAATCACTTAGCGAAATGCATGGCACACAGTAAATGCTCAAACTATGTAGGCACTGCTAGTATTTAATACGATAGGACTGTACTCGGTTCTCACTTTTGCAAAGGACTCCTCATCAGTCTCCTTCCTATTACACCTTTTTATTCTTACCATTAGATTCCTGAATCCCCTCTGCAATGGCTGTGCCTGCTGGAATCCTTCCATACATGGTGACCTCTTTGCTTCTCACAGACTTCCACTTTTAATGTTCTAAAATTACAACTAAAATATGTCTCCCTATCACATATTCTATGGTTGCTAATCACAGAAGTCGGTTAAAAATTATGATACTGAAGATCATATGAACCAGAAAACTTCAATCTTCACTTGAATATAAGCTCCATGCGGGCAAGGATTTTTGTCTACTTCATTTTCTGCCATTTTTCCAATGTCTAGGATGGGTATATAGTAGACCCTCATTTTTACCCATTGAATAAATAACATCTTTTGACTTACTTGAAAACTGAGATTCCTACATTATCCTTTTCAAAGGATATTTTTACTGTAGATTAAACATATCTGGAGCTACTCGACCATTTCTCTCCATCGTGTTTCAGATTCCCTTTGTCACCTGATTGGCTTTTTTCCTGGGAATATTTCAGTTTCCTTAATTTCCTCCTTGAGTGTGGTGCTGAGAAGTGAACAAACTTTGCAGGTACACTGGATCTAACGCAAAGAGAGGAGGAACAACTCCTTCTCTCATTCAGAAGCTATACTTCTATTGATGCAATCCATGAACATATTAGGTTTGGAGGTAGTAACCTGGAGTCATAGTGAGTCATGTCAGCTTGGACCACTCTATGACAGGTGCTAGTATTAACCTCATCTCCCACAACATTTATGTCGATGATGTTCAGGCCTAGATTTATATTAGAATCACCTGGGGTAGCTTTTAAGCTGACTAGAGCCAGGGTCCCACCCCAGAGGTTTTGATTCTATTAGAATCAGATGGCCACCAGGCAACAGTATTTTTTAATCCCCTCAGATGATTCCAATGTGAGCCAGACTTAAGATTACTAAGTTACAGGATCTTTTAAAACATAAATCTGATTGCACAACTCTTTGACCTCAAATCTTTAAATGGCTGACCATTGCCTAAAAGGGAACAGCAGCAACCCTCAACTGGTCTGTCACACACTTCTTTAGCCTCATCTGCTGCCACTCCCTCATTCTTCTAATCCTTCAAATAAATCATGTATCTTTCCACTTTAGGAGATTGAAGAAAAGCTGTTCTCACCTTCTGGACAGATATTACTGTTTCCTAGAAATTGCCTGTGTTCATGCAGTTATCTCTTATTCAGCCTTTAAATGTAACCTCCATTATCACTTCCTCTAGAATTTATTTCTCCCTGAACCCTGAGACCCAACAGTCCCCTGTTATATAAGCCTATAGACTAGCACTTATTTTAGTTGTATATACATATTTGTATTTTTATCTGATTCATGTCAATCTTTCCTGAGAGACAATGTTCTCCATGAGGGCAGAGACCCAGCCTGCTTTCCCCAGGTTGTGTCTTACTCCTTACACCATGCCTAGCTTGTAGGAAGTACACAATAGATATTTTTAAGTAAGTAAATGCAGGTTTAAAAAAAAAATCCAAGTACAGGAACATGCATATAACCCAACTTTCTATATCTTGACTTTTTAGATCTCATTTACTCTTTCTGACCTGTTAAAATATTGTATTGTACTAGGAAACCAACTTGTCTCATAAGATGTAAACAATCTCAAAAACTAATAAGCCATTCGTACATTTATCCAAAAGACTTGTGAGAAATTACCGAGTCAGTTGTCAGGCAAAATCTGTAAGGCCTGAAATACAAGCTAGGCTGTGAATATAGGGAGTGTGGTCTGTTGTGCCACTGACTTGGGGTGGAGGGTGGGGTAGTCTGATGTAACACAGTAAGGTCATACAGAGAGGGCCACAGAGCAGTTACAGCAAAAGCCTGAAAAGAGGCGTTCATCGGGACCCTTATGGTTACAGCAGATGGAACTCATTCAAATTAGCCTAAGGAAAAAAGAGGATGGGGGGAGAGATGTACTCAATCATAAAACTGTAAAGCCAAGAAGTGGATGTGAAGGCAGGACTGGGAGTAACAGTTGAAATGTAATCAAGACTCTATCTCCCTCTTCTTCTCTAGGCTTCACCCACAGTTTTGCTCTCTCCTTTGGGTGGTAAGACACCCATTGGTAGTCACATGCTCACTTTCCCTGGGAAAATAGATATTTTCCAGATTGAGCCACATGCTCATCCATGTGACCAGGAGAATGGTGTCCTCATGTTGATCCTATTTGGCTCCTATAACAACCCTGGAGGCAAAAAGAAAGGGTCACCTCCATCTTACCAGAATGGCTGTGTAGGGTTATTAGGAAATTGAGAAAAGGTGGTGGGTAGATTAAAGTATCAGGTGGATTATGGATGACAAAATACCAAAGACTCACTTCAGCATCGTGCCCAGAGAAGGTTTTTTATTTATTTGTTTATTTATTTATTTATTTGTTTATTTATTTTCAGTCGGAGTCTCGCTCTGTCACCCAGGCTGGAGTGCAGTGGTGCGATCTCGGCTCACTGCAAGCTCCACTTCTCGGGTTCACACCATTCTCTGGCCTCAGCCTCCCGAGTAGCTGGGACTACAGGCGCCCACCACCATGCCTGGCTAATTTTTTTGTATTTTTAGTAGAGATGGGGTTTCACCATGTTAGCCAGGATGGTCTCGATCTTCTGACCTCCTGATCCACCCACCTTGGTCTCCCAAAGTGCTGGGATTACAGGCGTGAGCCACTGCGCCCAGCCGTTTTTGTTTTTGTTTTTGTTTTTAATTTGTTTTTTAGAAATATTATGAGGCAATATTTAGGCAAAGGATAGAAACCGTATTTATTTATTCTATGAAAGCCCAAAACAGTTGAGTTAGACTTAAACTAATGGCAGATGATTAGGGCAGTAGCACGATGCCAGCCTTTCATTTGAGAGTTCATTTCATAAATAATACCTGATGGGAAGTGACACTCACTCTGCTCTGGCTCTTCAAAACAGAGTAAATCCAATGCTATTTTTCCATGGCCAAGGGCAAAATTATCTGACTGACTTTGAAGAGACATTTCTGTGGAATGAATCTGGACCAGGAAGTTTGGCTCAGTGACAAAACAGTGACCCAAACATTTTGAGAATATCTCTATTGGCCAGACACAGCGTCTAAGCTGAAGTCATCTTCTGTTTCGGAAATTCAAATATATACATGGTACACAATGAGGGATTCTCAAACTAAGTCATTACTTTCAGAAGGAACTCATACATTTGAAAATTAATTTAGTGTGATTAGTAATGAAATGTATTGCAAACATACCTTTTTAAAAGAAATTAATTAAAGAGCACAAAGCAAATACTGATAGAGCTGAATAGATGGCTCCATGTATTCTGTTTCTTTTCAGTGAAAAACACTGACCAATTCTTTTAACGTTCTTTCTGGTCCATAATTTCTTATTGCATTATAGCTTCTTATAAGTAAGCTCTTGAAATATCACATTTTTATTTGGAAATAAAATTTATTGATCAATAAAAGGAAGCTAGACTACATGATAGGCACTCCATAGTTACTGGCAGAAATAAATAAGACCTGTGCTTAAAAAATGCATAGCATCACTCATCTTTATTTTTGCAATCATATCAGTGCTCAGTGGTACAAGACACAACTGATGGGTGCAGGAATTCCAAGCTAATGGTAAACTTCTTGAATGAGGAGTGCTGGTTAATACTAAAGACCAAGCCTCAAAATCCAACCCTAAAACCCAACAATTGTACACACACACACACACACACACACACACACACACACATATCAAAGGCTGTCAAAGACAAATAATTCATCATTATACATTTCAAATGATTTATCTTTATAAGGGGTTTATTAGATATGTGAAAGAGACATAATTGAGCAAATCCACAACTAGCACAGTGGCTGGCACATAGTAGTTGCTTCATAAATATTATTTCACTAATAATGAACATTGCTAGTAATTCCTGATATCCTTTCCGCAATGGATTGCAGAGAAAATAACTTTATATAATTTTAAATCTCTCAACTGGTGAGCTGTAGCGTATTCTGATGTAAAAGGAAATAATATGTCATCAAGTCCAACCTTTTCATTACTTGTATGAGACAACTGAAAACTGAAAAGAAGACGTGATATGGTCAAAATCACACAGATAGGTAATAGAGGAATTGGGCAAAAGATTCCCATTTTCTGATACCTAGCTGCCTCGTAGGGCAAAGATTGTGATTCTAGGAGATGATTCACTGTATCACCTCTTCACTCACTATGGGAAATTACTGCTGGGGCTTCACTTCCTAAAATACAATTTGTGTTTCAAGATGCATTATCTGGTTACCTACTTCTCTCCTTACTTCTTCTTAAGCAATGAGGAAGTCCTTTTTAGCATTCCTAAGTGGTAAGTGAATAAACACTAAATGTAAATAGATAAGGCTATTAAAAAATTAAAATATGAGTCCAAAAACAGAATGTTATTCCAAGTTAAAGGCAGGCAAAAATGGTCTCATTTGCCTTTAACCCTGCACTTAACAGATCAAGTGCTCATTAAATATCTGCTGGAATGAATTGAAGAAAAACATTCCTGTATTTTCAGTGGATTGTAGGGTTTAATGGTAAGGGATTTTCCCCAAGGCTTCCAGTTTGATCAACTTCAACACAGTTTTAACATCCTGAGCCTCATCTCTCATAATTAGCAGAAACTGTTAGAAGCAACAGACTGGGCCAGTCTGGCTGAGCTGCATTATATCGTATCTTAGGATGGAGTGCTGATGTAATAGATACAAAGAAATATATTTCATGTAAAATGCACATAGGGGCTTTATTGGCATGCCCTGATTCTCCCCGCCAAAAAGCAGAAAGAAATTGACAAAAACAGAAATAAAAAGCATAAAGAGACAGATTGGCTACTTGATGAGCATATCAGACTCCAACTCAACTATGCTGGCACATCTAACGAAAGAATGTGCCATTTAAGAGGTCATCCAAGAGGCCAAATGCGGTGACTCATGCCTGTAATCCCAGCACTTTGGGAGGCCAAGGCAGGCGGATCACCTGAGGTCAGGAGTTCGAGACCAGCCTGGCCAACGTGGTGAAACCCCATTTCTACTAAAAATACAAAACTGAGCCAGGCGAGGGGGCACACAACTGTAATCCCAGCTACTCAGGATGCTGAGGCAGGAGAATCACTTGAACCCGAGAGGTAGAGGTTGCAGTGAGCCAAGATCACTCCACTTCACTCCATCCAGCCTAGGTGACAGAGTGAGACTTTGTCTCAAAAAAAAAAAAAAAAGAGGTCATTCATGGATGCATAGAAGGAATGAGAGCCATAAAAAAGTACGAAGAGTTCATTCAAGCACTGAATAAAGGAGTCTTAGCCAATGAACTCTCCTCATATTTAGTGAGTGGTTGGTCTGTTCCAGGGATTGGAGATATGATAGATACAAAACAGGGTCCTTATCCTCAAGGTACTTACAAGACTTTGTGGGGAGGACTTTCACTGTCTCTAGTACCACTGACAAAATTATACCTGTTGGGCTGACTTAGCCTGCTGCCATTAAAGAATCCTTTTTATCTAACTCTCCTTTTTCTGAGTTTAAATGCATTAATTATCCTTTTCATTATGTTCCTTCTTGTTGCATAGATCTTCTTAGAGGAAGAGAAGATTTAGCTATTCCTATGCATGTGATACTATTTCTCATGCTAAATTTAAAAATTTGTATTTCTAATTTAGACATCAATCTCATGAAGTTGGTTAATGTGTGAGTCTATCATTGAGAGATAGAACCTCTCTTGCTGAGTTGATAGAATCAGCTTTCTAAGTCTCTTCACTGAACTTGTGAAAGACATTCTGTGAGAACTCCAAGGAAAGAGACTTGCTCATAAATAACTACTATAATATCTTCAAATTCCCAGACATAGCATATAGAATAATGAATTGGCAAGGGTTTACAGTTAGATAAATGGGTCAATTCTCTACCCATGCCATTTGTCACATTTATAAGAGATCATGGGTGTTGAGCCACTTCATTCATCCTCTCTCACTAAGATCTTATCGTACATCAGTATTTTATCCTAAAGAAACACTTTAATATTCTATTATTACAAGAGCCACAGCAGTACTTGAGCTCAACGTAAAAGATGAAGTCAAACATCATTTTGTAGTGACATGATTAGTATCAACACAATTTCTGCTTTTTAAGAGCAAAATCAAAACACAGAACATTTCCACACTGAAAAACTATATTTGGGGTTTTGGAAAGATTTTTGGAGTTCACTGCATTTCAACACATCATGTGAATACTTTATGTAATTTTGAAACTATAGCCTTTTAGTTTTAACACCATTAACCTGAAGGTATTCTTAACCTTCAGTTATGGAAAACTGTGTAAGGCAAAACTTTTGAAATTGCGATCATGTTTGTGATTTGTAGAAGTTAGAATTTCTTGGCTCTAGTGTGGAATTTGGCAGTCTGGATTATTGTCTTCTTCATCAGAAGATCCTGTTATTAAACTGTCTTATCCCTGAGTTCTCCTCTGTAAAGTAGAACAGCAGCCATCTCCTATGGTTGTGCAAGGCCTTAACAAAATAATCTCAGTAAAAGTGGCTCTTATATACATAACCATACCTAACATGCATCGAGTGCTTATTGTGCTCTTACATACCAAATCTTCAAATATTAGCAGATATTACTAAATTATCTATTTTGTGAGCCACCCCATTAGTTGATATTTAAATAGATTCAGAATAGGTACGCTTTGGTAGCAAGTGTTTACACTCAAAGCCAACCAAATTCTACCCTTATTTTTGCCATTTTCCAGTGACTTAATTATCACAATTAATTCTTATGATTTAGAGGGTACATTTACAGACCAGACTCATTGTTGTAACTCTAGATAGCAAAACTATGTCATTCTAGTTTATTTCCTAAGTAAGAAAACAATGTTCAATAACAATTCTTCAATGGATCCTCTCTTAAAACTAATTGAATCCAGGCCTCTATTATCAATCATCTGGGTTGGACAATCATTTACTGTCTCTGCCTCCAATCTCCCTCATTCAGCCCTTTGACAATGTACTCTTTAATCTTTAGACAGTGTAGGTTTCACTCTTAGTTCCCATCTCTCACAGGATAAAGTCTGAACTTTCCAATATCATTTATTGAAGAGACTATCCTTTCTCCATTATGTAATCTTGGCATCTTTGTTAAAAAATAGTTGACCACACATCATACAGATGAGTTTATTCCTGGGCTCACTATTCTGTTCCATGTGGCTTATGTGTCTGTGTTTATGCAAGTATCATACTGTTTTGATTACAATATCTTTACAATATAATTTGAAATCAGGGAGTGTGCTGCCTCCAACTTTGTTCTGCTTGCTCAAGATTGTTTTAGTTATTTGAGGTCTTTTGTGATTCCTATTATTTTTGTGTTTTCCTATTCCTATAAAAAATACCATTGAAATTTTGGTAGGGATTGAATTTAATCTGTAAATTACTCTGGGTAATATGGACATTTTGACAATATTAATTCTTCCAATTTATGAACATAGGCTATTTTCTATTTAATTATGTCTTCTTCAATTTCATTCGCCAATGTTTTATAGTTTTCAGTGTATAGATATTGCACTTTCTTGGTTAAATTTATTTCTAGTTATATTTTTGATGCTAGGGAACTGTTTTTCTGATTCCTATTTTGGGAAGTTTGCTATAGTGTAGAGAAACTCATCTGATTTTTGTATGTTGACTTTGCATCCTATAACTTTATGAAATTCATTTATTAGTTCTAGCAGTTTTTTTGATGAAGTCTTCAGGGCTTTCTACGTATAAGTTAATACACTCCTCAAACAGAGACAGTTCTACTTCTTCCTTTCTGATTTGGATGACTTTTATGTTTTTTCTTCCTTAATTGCTCTGGCTAGAAAACCATATATTTGATAAGGGGTTAATATCCAAAATATTTAAGAACTCATAAAACTTGGTAAGAAAAAATCTGAATAAAAATGGGCAAAGATATGAATATTTTCCCAAAGACATACAAATGGCTAACAGGGACATGAAAACATACTCAAAGTCATTAATCATCAGGGATATCCAAACCAAAAGCACAATGAGTTATCTCACATCTGTTAGGATGGCTACTATCAAAAAGACAAAAAATATATATATGCATTGGCAAGGATGTACAGAAAAGAGAACCCTTGCATATTGCTGATGGGAAAGTAAATTGGTATGATCATTATTAAAAACAGCATGGGAATTCCTAAAAAATATATAAATAGAACTATCATATGATCCAATAAACTCACTTGTGTGTATACATCCAAAGGAAAAATCACTATCTTGAAGAGATGCTTACCCTCCCATGTTCTTTGCAGCATTATTCATAATAGTCACAAAATGAAAATGACTTGAGCATCCATCAACCAATGAGTGGTTAAAGAAAATGTGATTGATACACACAGTACAATACTGTTCAGCCTTAAAAACAAGGTAAATCCTGCTGCCATTTGTGACAACCTGGATAAATCTGAAGGATATTGTGTTAAGTGAAATAAGCCAGACACAGAAAGACAAATACTGCATGATTCTACTTATATGTGGAATCTAAAAAAAAAAAATCAGACTCAAAGTAACAGAGAGTAGAATGGTGGTTACAAGGGGGTGGTAGGTAGGGTATAAGGAGAGATATTGGTGAAAGAGTACAAATAATCCCATACAAAATGAATAGGTATTGGAGACTTAATGGACAACATGGTAACTGTAATTAATAATAATGCTTTCTGTCCTTGGAATTTGCTAAGAGAGATTTCAAGTGTACCCACCACACAAACAGAAAAAATGGTAACTATGTGAGGTAATGGCTATGTTAATTAGATTGATTGTGGTGATTATTTCTCAACATATACATACATCAAATCATTACATTGCACACTTTAAATATCTACCATATTTAATTGTCAATCATCTCAATGAAGCTAGGGGAAAAAGTAATGTAACTGAAAAAAATCCGTAGTCTTACTAATATGAATTATAAAGCACTGAATGGAATGCACCTTATGCCTCCTGTATAACTGCTGAAGGAAATAGCTGACAGGTCCCTTCTTCCACAAGACTTCTCTTCCCTCTCTTCCCTCTTTACCCAGTTCTATGTTAAGTCCTCTGCTATGTTCTCTACCAAAATCTTATGATTTTCCTTTCATACTACTTGCCATTATTTATTGTTGTCACTTAGTTTATCTGAATGTACAGCTAGACTGTCAGCTCTTGAGAACAATGCACAGTGTCTGTTCTGTTCATCTGTGTTCACCAACGCCTAGCATACTGCCTAGGCTGGAGTAGACACTATAATAATTGTTAGATGATGGAATAAAAGATGGAGAGAAGACCAGAAAACTGTACCCAAAATGATGGTATTGGTAATTATAATACTAGTAGAATAGACAGTTTAATATAATGCAATGTCTATATTATAGTTAATTTTGACTCATAAATCTTAATCTTAAATTTTGTATTTACTTTATGCCCTGCCTAAATACCTAAAGTGCTTACCAACCAATGCAGCTTACATCTAAATTTTATTATCAGGTTTAGTCTTTATAGACTAAGTTTCACAAGACAGAAAATGTTTAAACAGCTATACTGATTAGTATAGCCTCGAACATCACATCCTTAACGTTCAACTGGAATAAACCTCACCAATACAGTGACCCTCCTATAGATTTGGCCTTTTGTTTATGTTTCATTAATTTTATATTTTTGACTAAACTGGCTTTTTCCCTAAGCACTCTTTGCTCTTTATTGTGTGTAACTATAGGGATCATGAACCATCTTATCACAGATTCAATGATCATGGAATTGCAATTTCTGAAGATTTTCAGGAATTGTGGGCTAAGATTTTCAGGACGTATAAAAAGGTGATAATAGAAAAGATACCCAAATACTTAATTGAAAAAAAGTAGATGTCACGGCCTGTGCTGCATTTTTATGCATATTTTCAGGAAGCTAAAATGAACAGCATTTTTACAAATTCCAGAGTAAATTACACATTAGTAGCGAAATCTAAAATTCCAATTGTGGAGTCTACATTCAAGAAGGAATAAATTGTTAATGGCATTGACTTAATGGAGATACCTACCACTTCAGCAGACTATGATCCTAGTACCCTAAAATGTTATGAACCAACAAACTAGCCATTTAAGTAACAAACTCCTTCAGCTATTAAGACTCAGATAGCTTTACTACCTTAAATCAGATTTCCCACAGACATTCGGAGGTACTTAGATTTATTTCAGGAGACTTTACCCTTATGGATATAATGTTTTGTGGTTAGAATTGGAGAAGATGCACAGGCTGTCTTTATCAGCATAATATTTACATATAACCATAGCAGCCAACATTTACTAAGTACTCACTGTGTACTAGCTGCTTTAATGACAGTATCTCTCTTTACCTCACACACACAAAATCAAAAAATGATGTTGACAACTACTTCCAGAGAAAAAGCAGAAAAAATAAAGAAATAGAAAACAAAAAAAGGTGAGAAATCAAGTACAAATTATGTACAACTTTAAAATTCTCTTTTAAATCTGAATCTTTTAAAATTTAAGAGAAATGTCTTCACAGCTTTTAAGATGAAAGATACAGGCTTTTTTTTTACCATATGAAACTTCAAGCACTGTGAATCATTAACTCATCATTATTTGTTAAATGGATGTGATGTCAGTCAACAAATTCTCAAGGAAGACAAGAAGGCAGAGGGAAAAGAAGAAAGAGGAGGCAAATAAAAGCATGCTTAAGCCATGAGGGACAAAGCTAGATTTCCACAGTTCTGAGACAGATGGCTTAGAGAAGATGAGAGAAGAAAGAAAATCAGAAAACAAAACAAAACAAATATGGATTGAAAGAGAAGTACTGTCAAGGGCTTTGTAAACAAATTAAGCTCAAAGTTAGTTAAAAAATAAACGAATAGTCATCTATCCAGTGTCTGTAAGAAATAGGGAGCTGAGACAATTTTCTTATGGGGCTGGTTAAGTGAGTGCAGTGAGTAAGATAATGATCCTAATTCCAACTAATTTTCTTAAGAGCTAACACTTCACCTGGAACCATGTTAAATGCTTTTCATGTATTACTTAATCTTTATAAAAATTCTACGAGTTAGGAGTTAGAATTATCCCCATTTTATAAATGAGGAAACTGAGGTACAGAGAGGTTACATAGCTGCCCCAAATCACATAGTGGAATAGTGGGTAAGAGATAAAGATGGGATCCAACTCAAGCCTGTCTGATGATAAAGTCTGTGTCCTTAATTGCTATGCTAAACTGCTTCTCATTGCTATTAATGAATATGCAATTGAAGCAGAGTGGTGTCATGATTTAATATTTTATATGAGTAATAGACTAATGTAATTTTAATAGCACTTTGTAATTTATAAAATGTATTCACACACACAGTGTTTCACTTGGGTTTTAGAATCCCTATGTGGTAGCTAAGGATTACCTTTTTCTAAGTATATCAGTAAAGAAATTTATGTTCAAGGAAGTGACATTCAAGGTCACAAAATAAATGTCAGTATGGTAGAAGGGAAAAAGCTGGATCTATGTATCTGAGAACTGTGGCCCTGCCACTCAATAAATAAATGTTTTGGGACCAAAAAATTTCCTTTCTGACTAGTGTCTACACCTGAAAAATGGAGACAGAATTCTAACTTCTCAGAGTCTTTGTGAGAATAAAACCACCTAACCTACATGAGTACCTTTGGTACGTGTAGGCATGCAACAAGTGCAAATTTCCTTTGCCTTCCTGTGATACTGGGTATCTCAGAAACAGCCCTGGAATAGGGGTCAGAAGATCTGTTTTCTTTTCCTACTCATGCCCTTAGCTAGCTATGGCATGGAACTGTTACTTTACATTCATTTGTAACTATAGGTCAATACACTGGCTCTCAAGAAAAAAATAAAAAATATAAAAGCTCTGTTTGTAGCATTTGCTAACTTCAAATAACTAACATGATGTCAGCAAACATGGAGCAGAGAAGAAATAAGCTCATTTTGTTTCCATCAGTGGGTAAGAGCTGGGTCTAGCACACCACTAAGTAAAACTATGATATTAGGTGAGTGTTTTCCAAACTTTTTATGAAAGAAAAAAAGATTTTTCAACTGATGTTGACATTGTATAGAACTTAAATACAGAAACCCAATATGATTAGAACTCTGCTGGTAGAGGAGGGTAATGGAGCACAGAGCCCTGCCCTAACCCCAGCTCCTCCCCTCCTCTGTGTAGATCCCTAAGACATTGCTGAAGAACATATTCAAGTAGGTCATATCTTAAGGTCTTTATAAGACTCTTATTCTAAGATACTGTATTCTATGATTGTATAAGACTTTTTTATTTGATAATTTTTAAAACAGATTTACTTCTATATATGCATATCATTTTAGTAAACCAATTAGATTTCTAACCAATGCAATATAGAAAAAATTAAGGATATTAAAAAGCCATAGTCTCCTTGCTAATTGTGTGCCTAATCAAATGACCACTCCTGTTCGGGGTCAATAACCACACTATCTCATGGTGACATTGAGTCTTTCATAGCATATCTATGGCTAGGATTGCAAAACTTCATATGAAATGACAGATTTTAAGACAGCAGGGAATCTAGTCTCAAGCAGGGAGTGGTAAAATAGCAGGTGTCAGAGAATTGGAGAGAAAGGAAAACATTTCTTAGAAAAACCATTTTATAGTTGGTAAAAACCACTTTATACAAAACATTTTTTTCATCTTGAATTTCATCCACCTTTAACACAACTCTGTTTATTCACCTCTTAAACTCACCAAGTTTCTTCCAATGTTAGGCTTTCACAGATGCTGTTCCCTCTAACTAGAAATTTTTACTGCTCCTCTTTACCTGGTTGACACTACAAGACACTTCTGGGAAGCTTCCTCTCTTGCCACTCACTAGCATGTCCCCTGGTATGCTTTCCAAACCCTGTACTCCTCTGTAGAATTACAAGTCATTAGTTTTGTGACTGTTTTATATGTTTGTCTCTTACCAGGGAAGTGAAATTTCATGAAAGCAAGAATATTGTCTCTCTCTCTCTCTTTTATTTTTGAACACTGGATTGCATAGTAAGTGTCTGAAACATATCAAGCACTCAAATAATCTGTTCATTCATTCACACAAAAATAAATAGAGAAAGATGATTATGGGAAGATGGTAAGGTAAGAAGCACCAGAAATCTTTCTCCTCAACTAGACAATAATTTCACTGAAAGAATCTGCCTGATGTAATTATTTTGGAGTCTACTAAAGGCTTGCTATTTCCAGGGGAGGGTTGAACAGTAAACTGTGGTTAATTTTGGTCAATTTCAGCTCTTAACACAGTAGCAGCTACCCATCCCCTGACTACTCAGCACACTGGCGGGATGTTCATGGAGTAGCTTGCACATAGCTTTCAGGAGCCAGGACCGGCAAAAAGGAGCCTGTCTTCCAAATATCAAGAAGTCTGTGTTCTGACTATCATCACAGAGATGCAGACAAAAAGACAGCAGCAACTGTTGCACAACCCTCCAGTGTTGCAAGCTCTTCCTCCTCTGACAAAAGTGACTTCCAAGGGATGTAAAAGACCAGTGCCTCGCCACCAACTTTATATTTCTTTTTATTTTCGTACTATTGGGAGTCAAGCATTAAAGACTAGGATATTCAAATTCAAAAGCAACTGCATGTATGGGAGGATATAGAAAGTCATTATGCATGCCCAGGTAAATTTGCAGGCTCAGAAAAGACTTAAAAAGACCTTAAGTTGACACCTTATGCTAATTCTGGGTACAAAAATAGCCTGTAATAATTAAAGCAAAACAATAACAAGGCAGCAAACCCTGAGGAAGAGAATCTGATTTCCAGATTTTCCTCATTATTAGATTCAAATGTTCATTTTTCAACAAAAAATTATACGACATACAATGAAACAGGGAAGTGTGGCCCATTTGAAAGAAAGAAAAACAACAACAACAACAGAAAATATCACTAAAAAAAAGACCTGATGGCAGATCTACTAAACAAAGACTTTAAAACAACTGTCTTAAAGATGCTCAAAGATCGGGTGGGGCGTGGTGGCTCACACCTATAATCCCAGCACTTTGGGAGGCCGAGGCAGGTGGATCATGAGGTCAGGAGTTCAAGACCAGTCTGACCAACATAGTGAAACCCCGTGAGCCAAGATCACGCCACTGCATTCCAGCCCAGGCGACAGTGCGAGACTCTGTCTCAAAAAAAAAAAAAAAAATGCTCAAAGATCTAAAGGAAGATGTAATGAAAGTCAAGGAAATTATGTATGAACAAAATAGAAATATTAATAAAAATACAGAAAACTTAAAAAGAAGCCAAAATAAAATTCTGAAACTGAAATGTATAATACCTGAAATGAAAAATTCACTAGAGAATTTAAAACGCAGATTTAAGCAAGCAGAAGAAAGAATCAGCAATTTTGAAGAAAATATAGCAATAGACTTTACCAATAAAAATGATCAAGTCTGAGGCACAGAAAGAAAAAATAATTGAAGAAATGTCAACAGAACCTAAGGGATCTGTGGGACATCTTCAAGCAGATAAATATATGCATCATTTTCTAGATGGAAAAAAGAGAGAGAACAGGGCAGAAAACATACTTGAAGAAATAGTGGCTGAAAACTTCCCAAATTTGATGAAAAACATTAATATAAACATTCATGAAGCTCAACGAACCCAAGGAGATAACCTCAAAGGACACACACAGAGAAATTACAATCAAACTGTCAAAAGCCAAAGGCAAAGAGAATTTTGAATGCAGCAATAGAGAGGTAATGTGCCACATACAAGGGATTCTCAATAAATTTATTAGCAACTTTCTCATCAAAAGTTAGTGGGCGGATACATTCAAAGTGCTAAAATAAAAAAAAATACTGTTACCTAAGTATGTAATATTTTACAAATCTGCCATTTAAAAGTGAGAAAAAAAATTAAAATTTCCCCAGATAAAGAAAAGCTGAGCAATTTCATTATCACTAGACCAGCTCTGTGAAAAATATAAAAGGGAATTCTGCAAGCTGAAATGAAAGGACACTGAAGGCCTACAATATGGTTCAGTTCTGTGTCTCCATGCAAATCTCATCTCAAATTGTAATCCCCCCATGTCAGGTGAGGGACCTGGTGGGAGGTGATGGGATCATGGGTGTGGATTTTCCCCATGCTGTTCTCTTGATAGTGAGTGACTTCTCATGACAGCTGATTGTTTAAAAGTATGGCACTTCTGGCCAGGTGCGGTGGCTCATGCCCGTAATCCTAGCACTTTGGGACGCCAAGGCAGGTGGATCACATGGTCAGGAGATCGAGACCATCCTGGCTAACACGGTGAAACCCCATCTCTACTAAAAATACAAAAAATTAGCCAGGCGTAGTGGCAGACACCTGTAGTCCCAGCTACTCGGGAGGCTGAGGCAGCAGAATGGCGTGAACCCGGGAGGCGGAGCTTTCAGTGAGCCGAGATTGCGCCACTGCAATCCAGCCTGGGTGACAGGGCGAGACTCCGTCTCAAAAAAAAAAAAAAAAGTATGGCACTTCCCCCTTTGCTCTCTTTCTCTCCTGCCACCATGTAAGACATGCCTTGCTTTCCCTTTGCCCTCCGCCACGATTGTAAGTTTTCTGAGACCTCCCCATCCATGCAGAACTGTGAGTCAATTAAACCTCTTTTCGTTTTGAATTACTCAGTCTCAAGTAGTTCTTTATAGCAGGCTGAAAATGGACTAATACAGCATATAAAGAAATAAAGTTCTTAATAAAGGTAAATACAAGGGAAATTAGGAAAGTTGGTACTATTGTAAAAATGGTGTGTAACTTCATTTTTTGTTTCCTACATGATTTAGGAAAATAATATATTTTTTTAAAAAATTAGTATAAAAGCTAGTGTTATTGTAACATTTGTTTTTCACTCCACATTTTTATATAGTTTAATAGACTAACGCATTAAAAGATTATCAGTTTATGTTTCTTAAACACACAAAGTGAAAATATATAATTTTGTTACATCAACAACTGAAAGAGTGGGGGCAGAACTGTTAAAGCAGCAGACTTGTTTGTGTTATTGAAGTTAACCTGATATAAATTAAAATAGGAATGTTATAATATTAAGAGGTTAAATGTAATTCCCATGGTAACTATAAACAAAATAGTTAAAGAATAACATGAAATGAGAAAGAAATCTAAGTATGGTTTCACTATTTTTAAAAAATCAGTTAAACACAAAACGAGACACAAATTCAGGTAATAAGGCAAAAAAAAAAAAAAAAAAAAAAAACAACAGTTAAAATGTATACAGACAAGAAGAATCAAAATGACCAAAGTATCTGCTTATCAGCAATTACTTGAAATGTAAATGATTTAAATTCTCTAATAAAAAAGACAGAGATTGGCAGAATGGATTTAAATATGTGATCTAATGTTATGCTGTCTGATTTACACATTTGACATTCAAAGACACAAATACGTTGACATTTTAAAGATAGAAAATTTGCTAGGTGCAGTGGCTCACATCTGTGCAGCACTTTAGGAGGCCAAGGTGGATGGATCACTTGAGCCCAAGTTCAAGACTAGCCTAGGCAACATGGTCAAAGTCTGTCTCCACAAAAAGTACAAAAAATAATTTTAGCTGGGCATGTTGGTGCACACTTATAGTCCCAGCTACTTGGGAGGCTGAGGTGGAAGGATTGCTTGGGCCCAGGAAGTTGAGCCTGCAGTTATCTGTGTTTGTGCCACTGCACTCTAGCCTGGTCAACAGAGTGAGACTCTAAATCAAAAAAAAAAAAAAAAAAGAAAACTTATATTCTGTGCAAATAGCAACCAAAAAACACCACAGGTGGTTATATTAATATCAGAAAAAATGGATTTTAATTCAAAAGAATTCACAAAACACAAATGCCATTATATATTAATAAAAGTTTCAATACAGCAAGAAAATGATGATTATAAAAATTTATGTGCCTAATAATAGCCTATTAAAATATGTGAACATAGGAAAGGAGACAGAGCAAGATGGCCAAATAGGACCCTCTGGTGATCATTCCTGCCACAAAGGAACACGAAATTGAACAACTGTCCACACAAGAGAGCATCTTCACCAGAACCAAAAATCAAGTGATCACAGTACCTGGTTTTAACATAATAGCAAGAAAGGAGGCACTGAAGAAGGTATAAAAGATAGTCTTGAATAGTTGACACCACCCCTCTACCATCTTCCTAGGAATGGCCATATGGCATGGAGGAAAAATCTGTGTGCTTGGGGGAGACAGAATACAGTGATGGTGAGACTTTGTATAGAAAACAGCACTACTATATTAGTCCCTTTTCATGCTGCTGATAAAGACATACCCAAAACTGGGAAATTTACAAAAGAAAAAGGTTTAATGGACTTACAGTTCCACATGGCTGGGGAAGCCCCACAATCACAGCAGAAGGCAAGGAGGAACAAGTCACATCATACATGGATGGCAACAAGCAAAGAGAGAGCTTGTGCAGGGAAACCCCCCCTTATGGAACCATCAGATCTCATGAGACTCATTCACTATCATGAGAACAGCATGGGAAAGACCTGCCCCCATGATTCAGTTACCTCCCACCAGGTGTCTCTCGCAATACATGGGAATTCAAGATGAGATACGGGTGGTGACACAGCCAAACCATATCTTTCCACCCCTGGCACCTCCAAAATATAATGTTCTCACATTTCAAAATGAATCATGCCTTCCCAACAGTCCCTTAAAGTCTTAACTCAATTCAGCATTAACTTAAAAGTCCACAGTCAAACATCTCATCTGGGACAAGGCAAGTCCCTTGTGCCTAAATCAAAAGTAAGTTAGTTACTTCCTAGATACAATGGGGGTACAGGCATTGGGTAAATACAGCCATTCCAAATGGGAGAAAGTGGCCAAAACAAAGGGGCTACAGGCCCCATTCAAGTCTAAAATCCAGCAGGGCAGTCAAATTTTGAAGCTCCAAAATAATCTCTCTCCTTTGACTCCATGTCTTGTATCTGGATCACACTGATGCAAGAGGTGGGTTCCCATGGTCTTGGGCAGCTCTGCCCTGTGGTTTTGGAGCATACAGCTTCCCTCCTGACTGCTATCATGGGCTAGCATTGAGTGTGCATCTTTTCCATGTGCTTTTCCATGGTGCAAGCTGTTGGTGGATCTACCATTCTGGGGTCTGGAGGATGACGGTGCTCTTCTCACAGCTCCAATAGGTGGTGCCTCAGTAGGGCCTCTGTGTGGGGGCTCTGACCCCACATTTCCCTTCTGCACTGCCCTAACAGAGGTTCTCCATGAGGGCCCCACTCCTGCAGCACACTTGTGTCTCTGTATCCAGGCATTTCCATACATCCTCTGAAATCTAGGTAGAGGTTCCCAAACCTCAATTATTGACTTCTGTGCACCTGCAGGCCCAACCTCACATGAAAGCTGCCAAGGCTTGAGACTTGCACCCTCTGAAAGCATGGCCCAAGCTCTATGTTGGCCCCTTTCAGCCATGGCTGGAGTGACTGGGATGCAGGACACCAAGTCCCTAAGCTGCACACAGCACAGACACCCTGGTCCCAGCCCATGAAACTACTTTTTCCTCCTAGGCCTCCTGACCTGTGATGGGAGGGAATGCCTTGAAGACCTCTGACATGCCCTGGAGATATTTTCCCCATTGTCTTGGGGATTAACATTTGGCTCCTCATTACTTAAGCAAATTTCTGCAGCTGGCTTGAATGTCTCCTCAAGAAATGGGATTTTCTTTTCTATTGCATTGTCAGGCTGCAAATTTTCTGAAATTTTATGATCTACTTCTTTTATAAAACTGAATGCATTTAACAGCACCCAAGTCACTTCTTGAATGCTTTGCTGCTTAGAAATTTCTTCTGCCAAATAGCTTAAATCATCTCTCTCAAGTTCAAAGTTCCACAAATCTCCAGGGCAGGGGCAAAATGCAACTAGTCTCTTTGCTAAAACATAACAAGAGTCATCTTTGCTCCACCTCCCAACAAGCGCCTCATCTCCATCTGAGACCACTTCAGACTGGATCTTATTGTTCATATCACTGTCAGCATTTTTGTCAAACCCATTCAACAAGTCTATAGAGGTTTCAAACTTTCCCACATTTTCCAGTCTTCTTCAGAGCCTTCCAAACTGTTCCAACCTCTGCCTGTTACCCAGTTCCAAAGTCTTTTCCACATTTTTGGGTATCTTTTCAGCAGTGCCCCACTCTACTGGCATCAATTTAGTGTATTAGTCCATTTTCATACTGCTGATAAAGACATACCTGAGACTGGGCAATTTACAAAACAAAAAGGTTTAATGGACTTACAGTTCCACGTGGCTGGGGGAGCCTCATAATCATGGTGGAAGGCAAGGAGGAGCAAGTCACATCTTACATGGATGGCAATAGGCAAAGAGAGAGTGTTTGCAGGGAAACTCCCCATTATAGAGCCATCAGATCTCATGAGACTTATTCTGTATCACAAGAACACCATGGGAAAGACCTGTCCCCATGATTCAATTACCTCCCACCGGGTTCCTCCCACAACACACGAAAATTCAGGATGATATTTGGGTGGGGACACAGTCAAACTGTATCAACTAACTTGTCATAGCAAAAAGCAACATAAAGCAGAACTCAGTGGGTGACAATAGAGGGAGCATTTAGATTAGCCAGAGGGAAGTTACCCATCTCAGCAATCAGAACCTGAATTCTGGCTAGCCCACCACTATAGGCTAAAGTGCTCTGTGGTCCAAAGTAAACTTGAAAGGCAGTCTAGGCCACAAGGACTGCAATTCCTGTGCAAGTACTGGTGCTCTGCTGAGCTCAGAGCTAGTGAATTTGGGGTGCCTATGACCTAGCGAGACACCAGCCAGGGCAGCCAAGGGAGTGCTTGTGTCACTCCTCCCCTAACCATAGGCAGTACAACTCACATTTCTAGAAGAGACTCCTTCCTTCTGCTTGAGGAGAAAAAGGGAAACAGTAAAGAGGACTTTGCCTTGCAACTTAGATACTAGTGCAAACACAGCCCTTAAAAGAGGTTACCAAGTGGAATCCAGAGGCCCCCATTCCAGGCCCTAGCTCCTGAATGACATATATAGACACACCCTAGGCCATAACGGAAGCTGCTTCCCTGGGAATCCTACCAGTCCTGGTAGGATTCATCACCTGCTGACTAATAAGCCCATGGGCCATGAATGAACCTCAGTGGCTAAGGGCCTCAGGTGAGACCTAGGGCTATGCTGGCTTCAGGTGTGACCCAGTACATTACCAGCTATGGTGACCATGAGGACAGACTCCTTCTGCTTGAGGAAAGAAAAGAGTAAAGGAGACTTTGTCTTGCAGCTTGGGAACCAGATTAGCCACAGTGGGGTAGATTACTAAGTGGGCTCCTGGGGTTCCAGATTCTAAGCTGTGGCTCCTGAATGGCATTTCTGGAACCACCCTTGGTTACAGGTGAACCCAATTCCTTGAAGGGAGAGACCCAGGCCTGGTAGCATTTGCCACAAGCTAACTAAAGACCTTTGGGCCTAGAGTGAACATCAATGGTAGCCCAGTAGCATTCACTAGGGGCCTGGGACAGTGGTGGCCATGGGAAGGGACTCCTCTGCTTATGGAAAAGGGAGGGAAGAGTGGGAAGGACTTTGTCTTGATGCTTGGGTGCCAGCTAAGCTGTAGTAGAATGGAGCACCAAGTAGATTCCTAAAATCCCTGACTCCAGACCCTACCTCCCAGATGGCATTCCTGGACATGTCCAAGGCTGGAGGGTTGGGGCAGCTAACTGCCCTGAGGGAAGGACAAAAGTCTGGCTGAATTTTCCACCTGCTGACTGAAGAATGCTTGGTCCTTGAGTAAACATCTGTGGTAGATAGGCAGTGGTTGCTGCAGGCTTTGGGTAAGACCTAGTACTATGCTGACTTTGGGTCTGACCCAGCACAATCCCAGTGTTGGTGGCCACAGTGGTGCTTGTATAACCTCACCCCCAGCTCCAGGAAGCTCATCATGAAAAGAGAGACTCTATTTGTCTAGGAGAAAGTAAGAGAAGATAACAAGTTGGTAATACAGGGAATTCTCCCAAATATAACCCAAGACCACCAAGGTGGTACCTCTACAAGCCAGCTTCAGTGCCCAAAGATTTAGATTACAATACTGAATTCCTCTTAAATACTTGGAAAGCCTTCCCAAGAAGGATAAATACAAATAAGTCCAGACTATAATAAATATCTAATATCTAAATATTTAATGCACAAATATCAACAAACATCCACAAGCAACAAATACCATCCAGGAAAACATGACCTCACTAAACAAAATAAAGAAAGCATTAGTGGGCCAATCTAGGAGTGAGAGATATATGTGACTTCTCAGAGAATACAAAAATACCTTCCTCGAGGAAACTCAAAGTAATTCAAGATAAAACACAGAAGAAATTCAGAGTCCCAGCAGATAAATGTAAGAGAGAGATTAAAATAATTTTTAAAAATCAAACAGAAATGTTGGAGCTGAAAAATTCAATTGATGTACTGAAGAATGCATCAGTCTCTCAACAACAGAACTGATCAAGCAGAAGAAAGAATTAGTGAGTCTGAAGACAGGCTACTTGAAAATGTATAGTCAGAGGATACAAAAGAAAAAAGAATAAAAAGGAATGAAGCATACCTACAAGATACAGGAAATAGCCTTAAAAGGGCAAAACTAAGAGTTATTGGCCTTACAGAGGAGATAGAGAAGAAGATAGCCGTAGAAAGTTTATTCAAAGGGATAATAACAGAATGTTCCAAACCTAGGGAAAGTTATCAATATTCAAGTACAAGAAGCTTATAGAACATCAAGCAGGTTTAACCCAAAGAAGACTACCTCAAGGCATTTTCTAATCAAACTTCCAAAGATCAAGGATTAAGAAACGATTCCAAAAACAGCAAACAAAATAAATAACATAAAAAGGAGCTTCAATACATCTGACAGAAAACTTCTCTCAATGAAAACCTTACAGGCCAGAAAAGAGTGACATGACATATGTAAAGTGCTGAGGAAAAAAAAAAAAAACTTTTATCCTAGAATAGTATATCCAGTGAAAACATCTTTCAAACATGAAACAGAAACACTTTCCCAGACAAACAAAAGCTGAGGAATTTTATCAACACCAGATCTATCTTACAAGAAAGGCTAAAGAGAGTTCTTCAATCTGAAAGACAAAGGTATTAATTAGCAGTAAGAAATCATGTGACAGTACAAAACTCACTGGTAACTGTAAGCACACAGACAAATACAGACTATTATAACCCCTGTAATTGAGGTATTTAAACTACTCAAATCTTGAGTGAAAAGACGAAAATCAACATATCAAAAATAATAACTACAGCAACTTTTCAAAACATAGACAGTATAATAAGATATAAAGAGAAACAACAAAGGTTATAAAGCAGGGGAGTAGTAAAGTTAAAGCATAAAGTTTTTACTAGTTTTCTCTTTGTTAGTTTGTTTCTTTTTACAGTAATCATTAAGTAGTCATCAGTTTAAAATAATGGGTTAAACTTGTTATGTGCAAGCCTCATTGTAATCTCAAATATAAAAACCTACAACACATACACAAAAAATAAAAAGTAAAACATTTAAAAATATCACCAGAGAAAATCTTCTTCACTAAAAGGAAGAAAGGAAAGAAAGAAGGAAGTAAGAGACGACAATAATAGAACTAGAAAATAAATAACAAAATGGCAGGAGCAAGTCCTTACTTATCAATAATAATATTGAATATAAATGGAATAGACTGTCCAATTAAAAGACATAGACTGGCTAAATAGATTTATGTTGCCTACAAGAAACACACTCCACTTATAAAGACACACATAGATTGAAAACAGAGGGATGGAAAAAGATATGCCATGCCATAGAGACCAAAAGAGAGCAGGAGTCCTTATACTTTTATCAAACAAAATAGATTTCAAGATAAAAACTATAAAAAAAGACAAAGATTATATAATGATAAAGGGATCAATTCAGCAACAGGATTTAACAATTGAAAATTTATATGCACCCAAGAATGGAGCGCTCAGATATACAAAGCAAATAATATTAGAACTAAAGAGACAGAGAGATCCCAATACAAGAATAGCTGGAGACTTCAACACCACAGTTTCAGCATTGGAGAGATCATCCAGACATAAAATCAAGTAAAGAAACTCTGGACTTAAACTGAACTGTATATCAAATGGCCCTAATAGATATTTACAGAACATTCTATCCAAAGGTTTCAGAATTCACATTCTTCTCTTCACCACATGGATCATTCTCAAGGATAGACCATATGTTAGGTCACAAAACAAGTCTGAAAACATTCCAAAAAATAGAAATAATATCTTCTCTGACAACAATAGAATAAAACTGGAAATCAATTACAAGAGGAATTTTGGAAACTATGCAAACACAGGTAAATTAAACAATATGCTCCTAAATGATGAGTGGGTCAATGAAGAGATTATAGAGGGAAATTGAAAAATTTCTTGAAACAAATAATGAAAAAACAATATACCAAAACCCATGGGATACAGCAAAAGCAGTACTAAGAGGAGAGTTTATAGCTATAAGTGCCTACAAAAATAAATAAATAAATAAAAGGAAACACTTACATAATCTAATGATGTATTTTAAATCATTTTAGTTGATGCTGAATAAAGATTTGATAGAATTCAACATCCCTTTATCATAAAAATTCTAAAAAACCTGGGGATAGAAGAAATAGCTCAACACAATTAAAGACATATACGACAGACCCACAGGTAGTATTATACTGAATGGGGAAAAAACTGAAAGCCTTTCCTCCGAGATCAGGAACATGACAAGGATACCCACTTTTACCACTGTTATTCAACATGGTACTGGAAGTCCTAGCTAGAGCAACCAGACAAGAGAAAGAAATAAAGGGCTTCCAAATTGGAAAGGAAGTCCAATTATCCTGGTTGCATATTATATGATCTTACATTTGGAAACACCTAAAGACTCCACCAAAAAAAGATTAGAACTGATAACAAATGCATTAAAGTTACAGGATATACAATCAACATACAAAAATCAGTAGCATTTTTACATGCCAACGGTGAACAGCCTAACAAAGAAATCAAGAAAGTAATCCCATTTACTACAACTACAAATAAAATAAGACAACTAGGAGTAAGCTGAACCAAAAAAGTGAAAGATCTCTATAACGAAAACTATAAATCACTGATGCAATAAATTGAGGAAGATATACAAAAAATGGAAAAAATATTTCCATGTTTGTGGATTGGAACAATCAATATCGTTAAAATGTCCATACTACCCAAAACAATCTAGACATTCAATGCAATTCCTCATCAAAATACCAACGACATTCTTCAAAGAAATAGAAAAAAAAATCTTAAAATTTATATGGAACCACAAAAGACCCAGAATAGCCAAAGCTCTCCTAAGCAAAAAGAACAAAACCATAAGAACCTGACTTCAAATTATACTACAGAGCTATGGTAACCAAATTGGCATGGTACTGGCATAAAAACAGATACACAGACAAGTGGAATAGCACATAGGACCCCCAAATAAATCCATGCATCTACAGTGAACTCATTTTCAAAAAAGGTGCCAAGAACATACACTGGGGAAAGGACAGTCTCTTCAATAAATGGTGCTGGGAAAACTAGATATCACTATGCGGAAAAATGAAACTAGATCTATATCTCTTGCAATATATAATAATAAGATCAAAATGGATTAGTGACTTACATTTAAGGCCTCAAACTATGAAACTAATTTAAAAAATCTTTGGAGAAAATCTCCAGGACATTGGTCTGGGCAAAGATTTCTTAAGTAATACCCCACATGCACAGGCAACCACAGCAAAAATACAAGTGCAATCTCATCAAGTTAAAAAGTCTCTGCATGTCAAAACAATCAATAAAGTGAAGAGGCAACTCAAACAATGAAAGAAAATATTTGAAAATATTAATCTGAAAAGGGATTAATAACCCAAATATATTAGGAGCTCCAATACCTCTATAGGAAAATATCTAATAATCTAATTAAAAATGAGCAAAATATCTGAATAGACATTTCTCAAAGAATGCTTAATAAATGGGCCACGTGTGGTAGCTCACACCTGTAATCCCAGCACTGTGGGAGGCTGAGGTGGGTGGATCATCTGAGGTCAGGAGTTCGAGACCAGCCTGGCCAACACTCCAGCCTGGGCAACAAGAGCAAACTCTGTCTCCAAAAAAAAAAAAAAAAAAAAGAAAAGAAAAAAAGACTTAACAAATGGCAAACAGGTATATGAAAAGGTGCTCAGTATCATTGATCATCAGAGAAATGCAAATCAAAACTACAATGAAATATCATCTCATCCCAGTTAGAATGGCTTTTATCCAAAAGGCCATAATGAATGCTGGTAAGGATATGGATATGGAGAAAATGGAACCCTTGTACACTGTTGGTGGGAATGTAAATTAGTACAACCACTCTGAAGAATAGTATGGATGTTCCTAAAAAATTTAAAGATCTAATTACCACACGATCCAGCAATCTGACTACTGGGTATTTATCCAAAGGAAATGAAATTAGTATTTTAAAGAGACACTTCAGCAGTATTCACAATATCCAAGCCTTAGAAGCAACCTAAGTGTACATCAACAGATGAATGGATAAAGAGAATGTGGTACAGATACACAACAGAGTACTATTCAACCATAAAAAAAAATAAGATCCTGTCATTTGTGACATGGACGGACCTGGAGGATATTACATTAAGTGAAATAAGTCACACAAAGGAAGAAAAACTTTGCATATTTTCACTCATTTGGGCAAGCTGAAAACTAAAACAACTGAACTCATAGAGACAGAGTAGAAGGACGGTTACCAGAGTCTGGGAAGGGTAATTGTGGGATTGGGGGTGGGCGGGGGATAGCTACTGAGTACAAAAATATAGTTAGATAGAATTAATAAGATCTAGTATTTGATAGCACAACAGGGTGACTATAGTCAGCAATTTATTTATTTATTTATTTATTTATTTATTTATTTTTTTATTATACTTTAAGTTTTAGGGTACATGTGCACATTGTGCAGGTTAGTTACATAGGTATACATGTGCCATGCTGGTGCACTGCACCCACTAACTCGTCATCTAGCATAGGTATATCTCCCGATGCTATCCCGCCCCCCTCCCCCCACCCCACAACAGTCCCCAGAGTGTGATATTCCCCTTCATGTGTCCATGTGATCTCATTGTTCAATTCCCACCTATGAGTGAGAATATGTGGTGTTTGGTTTTTTGTTCTTGCGATAGTTTACTGAGAATGATGATTTCCAATTTCATCCATGTCCCTACAAAGGACATGAACTCATCATTTTTTATGGCTGCATAGTATTCCATGGTGTATATGTGCCACATTTTCTCAATCCAGTCTATCATAGATGGACATTTGGGTTGGTTCCAAGTCTTTGCTATTGTGAATAATGCCGCAATAAACATACGTGTGCAGGTGTCTTTATAGCAGCATGATTTATAGTCCTTTGGGTATATACCCAGTAATGGGATGGCTGGGTCAAATGGTATTTCCAGTTCTAGATCCCTGAGGAATCGCCACACTGACTTCCACAATGGTTGAACTAGCAATTTATTGTATATTTAAAAATAACTAAGAGAGTATCAGTGGAATGCTTGTAACATGAATAAATGATAAATTCTTGAGGTGACGAATACCCCATTTACCCTGATGTAATTATTATGCATTGTATGTCTGTATCAAAATATCTAATATATCCCATATATATATATATATTTATATGCTATACACACATAAAATTAAAAATTTGAAAACTATATAGAGTGTGTACATATATACTATATATAGTGTGTGTATGTGTGTGTATATATGTGCATATAAATGTTCATATATCATATATAGTGTGCATGTGTACATATGAAGCAAAAATTGAAAACAGTGAAGGGAGAAGTAGACATTTCTACTTCAGTAATGGACAGAACCAGAAAGAAGATAATAAGAAAATACAGGACTTGAACATCACAGTAAACTAACTAGATTTAACAGAATACACATTCCTCTCAGATGCTCCTCCAACATTTTCCAGGATAAACCATATGTTATGCCACAAATTAAGACTCATTAGATTTAAAACAATGGATATAATACAAAGTATCTTCTGTGACTACAACAGGATTAAATTAGAATTCAATAACAGAAGGAAAATCGAAAAATTCACAAGTTTGTGAATATTAGACAACATGCTTTTAAATAACCAACAGATGAAAGAGTAAATCACAAGAGGCATTAGAAAACACTTAGAGACAAATGAAAATGCAGTGTTAAGGTGTAAATTTATAGCTATAAATGCCTATATTAGAAAATAAGAAAGATCTTCTATTGACAACCTAAATTTATGTAGTGAATTCCTACAATTTATGGTGCCTCAACATCCATTTTGAAAATAAATTGGACTGTCTTATACAAGAATCAAGAATTGGTCACCTTTGACACCGTCTCTAGTTCTCTGCCTCCTTCCAGTTCCTCAAGGTGATTGATAGAGATATCTGCCTTATACATCCACCTCCCCATGGGACAGCTAGGTACAACCCACTTGACCTTCTCCACTGACCCCCACATTCTGAATGGACTGTGAAGATATAACAGAGTGATCACCTTTCAGTCACAGTGGGACTCCACAGAACTTGTGCCTGCTTGCTCCAAAACCACCAATTAGTATGCCCCATGAGAAATCAGTTTGAGCAATGCCTTAGACCCCAACAGATGCTCTGGCTCACAGGTCCCATTCTCTCTCTCTTGCTTCCTACCATCTGATTTAACATTCATGTCTTAGAAGGCTCCCTTTTCCCACTGGCCCTGCGAGGCATGCTCTAGCTGGGATTTGTAAGTAATACATTGCTTCTGTTATTTTATGTGATTTGTTGAGTTGCTTCTACTGGTTGTCACCTGACTGACACATCCAAAACTAGCTTCTTTCCTCATCAGGCCTCTCTTAGAGATTGGATATTTTGGTAGGAATAAAATAGATATAGGTTAAATAAGAGCTAATATTGGGTTTGCCAGTACAATTTTCCTGTGAGGAACAGCAGGTCATGGTCAAACATTTATGCGTTAGGCCATCTGCTAGGATAAAGAAGTATTCCATGAAAAGCACATTGTAATCATCCACTAGCAAATCCCCTGGATCCCTGCCAGTGCAGGGTGAGAGTTCATAACCACTTCTCCTATGAGAGACCTCCAGACCAAATGGAAGGAAAATACAGTGTTTTATGATTTAAGAAACTAGAAAGAGAATAAAGGAAACCCAATGATAGCAGAAGGAAGGATATAATAAAAATTAGAGCAAAGAAAAAATGAAATAGAGAAAAGAAACATAATACAGAACATCTGTGAAATCAAGAGATGGTTCTTCAAAAATATCCACAAAATTGACAACTCTTCAGCAAGATAGACTAAGCAAAAAAGGACTCAAATTTCTAAAATAAAAATAAAAGTGGTACGTACAAATGCTACAGAAATAAAAAAGAGAATATGATGAGCAATTGTACACCAACAAATTAGATGACCTATAGAAAATGGACAAAATCCCAGAAACACAAAACCTACCAAGATTAAGCCAGGCAGAAATAGAAAATCTGAATAGACATATAACTAGTGAGGAGACTGAATCAATAATCAAAATCTCCAGACAAAGAAAAGCCATGAACCTGATGGCTTCATTGGGTGAATGCTATCAAACATTTAAAGAATTAATAGCAATCCTTTCCAACCTTTTGTCAAAATATTGAAGAAGAGGGAACACTCCCTAACTCAATCTATGTGGTCAGCATTGCCCTGATATGGAAGACAGACAAACACTACAATAAAACTACAGATAATTCTTCCTTATGAATATTAATGCAAAAATTATCAACAAAATACTAGCAAACCAAATTCAAAAGTATATTGTAAAGATTATAAACTATGGCCAAGTGGGATTTATTCCTGGAATACAAGAATAATCTAGCGTATCAAAATTCAACAATTTGATATAACGTATTAACAGAATGAAGCAGGAGGAACCACATGATCATCTCAACTGATACATAAAAAGCATTTGACAAAATTCAACACCTTTTCATGACAGAAACATTCAACAAGCTAAAAATAGAAGGAAACTATCTCAATATCATAAAAGACATATGAAAAACCCACAGTGAATATCATACTCAATGGTAAAAGAATAAAAGCATTTGCTATAAGATTAGAATCAAGGCAAGAAGACTTGCTTTCACCACTTCTATTTCACGTGGAACTGGAAGTCACAGCCAGAGCAATTAGGCAAGGAAAGGAAATAAAAAGCATCCAAATTTATTTTGCTTTTTTTTTACTTTTTATAGAGACTTGGTCTTTATGTTGACCAGGCCAGTCTTGAACTCCGAACCTCAAGTGATCCTCTTGCCTCGGCCTCCTGAGATGCTGGGATTACAAGAATGAGCCATTGTGCCCAGCTGGCATCTAAATTTGAAAGGGAGAAATAAAATTATCTCTGTTCACAAATATAATTTATATGTAGAAAACCCTAAATATTCCACCAAAAAATCTCTGTTATAACTAACAAATTCAATAAAGTAAAAGGATACAAAGTCGACATGCAAAAATCATTTGCATTTTTATGCACTTAAATGAGCAATTCAAAAATGAAAGAAAACAATACCAACAATTCCATTTAAAATAGCATCAAAAGAATAAAATACTTCAAAATGATTTAACCAAAGAGGTAAAATATTTCTACAATGAAAACTACAAATCGATTCTGAAAGAAATTTAAAAAGACATAAATAAATGGAAACGCACCTCATGTTCATGGATTGGAAGATTTAATATTGTTAAGATGTCAATACTATTCAAAATGATCTACAGATTTAATGCAATCCCTATCAAAATTTCAAGAATATCTTTTTCTTTTCTTTTCTTTCTTTCTTGCAGTAGAAAAATTTATGCTAGAATTCACATGGAACCTTAAGAGATCCTGAAGAGCCAAAACAATCCTGAAAGGGAAGAACAAAACTAAAGGACTCATATGTCCTGATTTCACAACTTACTACCAAGCCTCAATAATCAAAACAATGTGATAATGGCATAAATACAGATACATAGACCAACGGAATAAAATAGAATAAAAAAACCTTGACATATATGGTAAAATGATTTTTGACAAAGGTTTCAATATCATTTAATAGGGAAGATATAATCATTTCAACAAATGGTGCTGGGGAAACTGGACATCCACATGCAAAAGAATGAAGCTGACTCCTTCCCTAACACATATACAAAAAGTAATTCAAAATGGATCAAAGACCTACATGCAAGAGCTAAAGCTATAAAACTCTTAGAAGAAAACATAGAACAAAAGCTTTACAACCTTGAAATTGGCAATGCTTTCTTGGATATGACACCAAAGGCAAAGGCAAGAAAATTTTAAAAAGGCAAGAAAAGAAAAAAAGCAGACAAATGTAACTTTAAGAAAATTTAAAAATTTTGTGCATTAAATATTCTATCAACAGAGTCAAAAGGCAACCCACAAAGCCAGGTATGTTATTATACACCCTCTAATTTCAGCTGTTTGGAAAACTGAGGCAGGAGGATCACTTGAGCCTTGAAGTTTGAGGTTGTAGCGCACTATGATCATCATGCCTTCTGAATAGCCACTGCACTTCAGCCTATGCAACATAAAAAGACCCCACCTCTAAAAAAAAACAGAAAAGAAAGGCAACCCTCAGAATGGGAGGAAATATGTCTAAATCATATTTCTGATAAAGGATTAATATTCAGAATATAGAGAGAACTCCTAAAACTCAGTAACTTAAAAATAAACAAAGTAACTCAAAATTAGACAACAGACTTGCACAAACAGACATTTCTCCAAAGAAGGTAACAAATGGCCAATAAGCATATGAAAAGATGCCCCAAATCAGTATCATTGGGGAAATGAAAAGTATAACTACAATAAGATACCATCTCAAACCCATTAGGATGTCTACTATCAGCAAAAGAGAAAATAATTAGTGTTAGCAAGGATGTGTAGAAACTGGAATTGTATACTGCCTGTGGGAATCTAAAATGGAACATCCCACTGTGGAAAATAGTATGGTGGTTTATCAGAAACTTAAAAATTGAGTGATCATATAATCCAGCAATTCTACTTCTGGGTATATACTCAAAAAATAATGGAAAGCAGAGTCTTGAAGAGATATTAATACACCAAGGTTTTATAGCAGCATTGTTTACAATAGCTAAAATGTGGAAGCAACCACATTTAAGGATAAGCAAATGTGGGTATCCATACAATGGAATTAGTATTCAGCTTTCAAAGGAAGGAAATTCTGATATATGCTACAACTTGAATAAACCTTGAGGACGTTATGCTAAATATATGCCAGTCACAAAAAAGCAAATACGTAAGATCCCACTTGTTCGTGGTACTTAGTCAAAATTATAGCGATAAAAAGTAGAATGATGGTTGCCAGGGCCTGAGGGGCAGGTGAAATTATTGTTTAACGGGTATAGGGTTTGAGTTTTGCAAGATGAAAGGAGTTGAGGAGACAAGTGGTAGTAATGCTTTCATAATAATTTAAATGTACTTAATATCAATGAAGTGTACACTTAAAAATGGTTAGGATAGAAACTGGAGGACCTGATGTTAAGTGAAATAAGCCAGACACAGAAAGATAAATACTGCAGATCTCACTTATACACAGCATCTAAAAAAGTCAAAGTCATAGAAGCAGAGAGTAGAATGGTGGTTACTAGTGGCTGGGGTGGGGTTGGGAAGATGTTTTTCAAAGAGTACAAAATTTCAGTTAAACAGAAGGAATAAGTTCAAAAGATCTATTGTACAAATCATTAATAACAATGCATTATGTATTTGAAAATTTCTAAGAGATTTCAAGTGTTCCCACCACAAATAAATGATAAGCATATAAGGTAATGCATATGTTATTTAGCTCCACAATGTATACATATTTCAAAGCATCATGTTGTTTACCATAAATGCATACAATTTTTATTTGTCATCTTAAAAAGATAATAATAATAGTATATAAGGAAAAAATCTAGAGAGTAAAGGCATTTAACAAAAAGGCAAGTTTCGTGAGAATAGCTAGTTTCTCCCTTCCCTTTAGAGAGTAGGAAAAAAAAGGTTAAGATAGTAAATATTACGTTGTGGATATTTTACCACAAGAAATACAATTAAATCAATGAACAAATAGACAAGTACGGGATAAATTTTAATGAAAATTTTTGTTTTTCTAGACTAACGGTTGATAAAACTGTCTGTAAACCAAACTGTCTGGCCTGTTGCCTGTTTTTGTAAATGACATTTTATTGGAACATAGTTATGCTCATTTTATTGATTCATTATTTTATTTATTTTTAGTGATACATCATATTTTACATATTTATGGGGTACATCTGGTTGTTTTTTACATGCATAGCATGTAAAATGACCAAGACAGGGTATTTGGGATGTCGATCACCTTGAGTATTGAATATTTCTTTGTTTTGGGAACAATTCAAGTTCTCTCTTCTAGCTGTTTTGAAATATAGAATACGGTGTTGCTAAGTACAGTCATCCTACTCTGCTATTGAACATTAAAACTTGTACCTTCTGTCTAACTGTATGTTTGTACCCACTGAACCAACTCAATACCATCTTTGGCTGCTTTTGTACTACAATGGCAGAGTCATGTAGAGTTGCCTGTCCTTATCTGCAGATGCAGAACGTGTGGATGTCAAGGGCCGGCTCTAAGACCTGAGCATCCTCAGATTATGTTATCCACAGGGGTCCTAGAACTATTATCTTATTGATACTGAGGGATGACTATAGTTTGCAACAGAGCCACTATGTCCAACAAAGCCTAAAATTTACTATTTGACCCTTTACAGGCAAGTTTGTGATTCTGGATCTATGGATCAAAATAAATGTAAAGTCAGATGTGTTCAGGGATTACAGAGGGGTATTTACTTAAATTCTTTTCCATTTTTTATATTCATCTCAGAACCTTATTTTAAAAAGAGAGGGTAAATCATATGGATAGAGAAGAGGTATACCTATCAAACCAGTGAAGAATTTAATTTCTGCAAAATTAGATGCTGCTTTATGTAAAATCTAACATTTAAAACTTTCTCACAGTCACCACTATATATTGTACATTTAATATGTACCAGGAACTATGTTCAACACTTCATGTGCAACTTTTCATTCCTTACCAGGACTGCATGAGGCAGATACTGCCAACCTACCTGTTTCAGAAGTGAGAACACTAGGACTCGGAGACAGTAAGTACCTTGCAAAATCTACACAGCTGGGTAAGTGTTGGAGCAGCACTGGAACTTAGATTCTTGAGCAATCTTCCTTATTTCTTGAAAAAGATACTAGGGAGTAACCAGGCAATGATCACAGATGCAGTTAACTTATGAACATAATGACCACTGTGGAACCGTCTTGGTTAGCACAGTAGTTGAGAACATGGGCTTTGGGGTTAGCCTTCCCAAGTTCACATCCTTCACTTCTAGCCACATACCTGGGAAGTTACTTAAGCTTTCTCTGTCTCAGTGTTCTCAACTGTAAAATACAGGTAATAATAGTACCTATGTTTAGGGTAGTTGGGAAGATCAAAGGACCCACAGCACTCTCACCACAGTACCTAGCACTAAGTGTTTGCTATTATTATCATCATTGATATTAATGTACAAAGCCTTTTCCATTTTTCAAACCCTGTTTAAAAATCTTTCCAGTATTCAACCATTCTCTAATTGCCCCTGCCTATAAGATTGTCTTTCTTCTTTATCAATCATGTTTGTTTTACAGCACATGAAATCAGCACTTGATTCCATATAATTCAGTATTATTACCTATATATAAAGATGGGGAAATTCTAGAGACTAGACATTCATACTACTTTGCATACAGTAGGTTCTCAGAGAACATTTATTGAATTGAACTGGAGCCAGGCATGGTGGCTCACACCTGTAATCCTGGCTACTCAGGAGACTAGGACGGGCGGATTGCTTGAAGCGAGGGGTTAGCGACTAGCCTGAGCAACAAAAGCTAGACCTTGTCTTTATAAAAATTAAAAATAATATTAGAAAATTGACTGTGATGCTCAAGTGTGGTACAGCAGGATTTCTCAAAGAGTTCTCACAGCCAAAAATAAAATAAAATAAAAATAAAAAAATAAAAAAAAGAAGAAGCAATAGAAAGAGGTTGCTTGGATGTTCTCACTTATAAGTGGGAACTGAACAATGAGAACACATGGACACAGAGAGGGGAGCAACACACAACGGGGCCTGTGGGGGGTGAGGGGTGGAGGTAGAGCCCAGTATAAATAGCTAATGCATACGGGGCTTAATACCCAGGTGATGGGTTGGTAGGGGCAGCAAACCACCATGGCACATATTTACCTATGTAACAAACCTGCACATTCTGCACGTGTATCCCGGAACTTAAAATAAAATAAAAATAAAAATAAAGTAAAAATAAGGGGTTGCTTGCTCAATTTTTTTTGGGAAGCCAACTAATTATATGATGTTAAATAGGATCCTTAATGCTAAATTTTTTCAGAACTTTGTATCCAATGTGTGCTATGAATATCCACGAGGGGATCAATACACACAGTGTTTTTTAAACTTATATGACCACAAACTCCTCTTTAACAGAGAACTTTATAGGACTAATCTTCTGTAGAACACATTTAGGAAAATTCCATTGCAGAGGAAATAGAGGAGCTAACAAGGACTCTAACTCCTTGTTTTAATCAGTGAAATTTAATCAAATAATTTACCTAATGCCAATAATGTGCCCATTTCTGTGCTAGGAGGCCATGGGGGCAAAAAATAATTTCCTGCACTTTATATTTTTTGCAGGATAAAAAAATGGACATGTCACTTAAAAAACCGATGGCATAAAGTCAGAAAGTGGGACCCAAGGGGCCAGTGTCTAGATCCTACGGACTTAATCAGGCAGTAACATTCTTACAGTTAGAATCAAAACACAAAACAGATTACTTGGAACAAATGCTGGATATCTGAAAAATGTCAGGAAAAAAAAATTGAACTAAAGACATGTTTATTTAAAAGCCCAAATTTGTAATTTATTCATCTGTAGGAAAGAACTAAGAGCATTTCTTCTGATCTTCAGTCCCATGAAACCACTAACACACTGAGTTTGCCATTGTATTATTTTTTCACTGTGTTGGAGATTCAGTTCAGTCTCAGGAATAAAAAGCCTAGTTGGTTCTCTTTTGGACAAACACTGAACACGACGATGGATGCTCTTAAGGGCATCATATAATGCTTATTGTAAAAACATAAACATTCAGAATAGGCAACAAAAGCCAGAAAGGATGCCAAATAAAGTTAATTTCCAGCAGGCAAAGAAATGTTTCATCCATCCTGGGATTCAGTTGGAAAGAGAAAGCGGCCCTTATGGTACACATGAAATAATGTAAAAACTCTTAGTTCCACTATGTTAGATATTTTATGTGCCAAGTGATGGCCTCAGAACTATTGATTTCCTTAGGTCTTTGACAAGTACTCAAAAAACACAGAGAAAGAGAATTCAGTGGCAGCAAAGCTCCCGAGAGTTCTACCAAATTGACTATTTCCAAACTATTTTCTGACATGAAAATTTTCCTGGCATATGCCTACATTCAAAAGATATTCTGAAGAACATGATAAGTCTCAAGATTCTCCTTGCACAGCTTTTATGTTTTTAGGTTCTCTTAGTCCTCATAGAATGTTTTGAGAATGTATTCTAACTGAACTGCATATGACTGCAAATAAAGATCACTGTCATGGCTACATTTTGTCCAGACGCAGTACCTGGCACTTGGCATATATTTTCTATCTCTAGCCTTGTTTGTTTTTGAGACAGAGCCTCACTTTGTCACTCAGGCTGGAGTGTAGTGATGTGATCCTAGCTCACTGCAGGCTCAAATTTCTGGGGTCAAGCAATCCTCCCAGCTTAGCCTCACAAAGGGCTGGGATTACAGGTGAGAGACACCATGCCCAGCCTATCTCTAAGCTTTAAAACAATGTCAGCAAAGAGTATGTGTATCGATGAATATATATACATGCAAGTGTGCATGTACCCATACACACATACACACACACACACACACACACACACACACACACAAAGAAACGGAACTAAAGTTCCAAGCTGAGTGGCATGCCCAGGGCCACCTAACCGATGAGGAAGAGTCAGAATCCAGAATCAAACCTCGGTCACTCTGACCTACCACCTATTTCTTTCCACCCTGATGTACTGCCTTGGCTTTTCAGTACATCTCTCTATTGGGATTTTAGTCCTCATTTTTTCTCCTTGTTTCTGTTCCTTCGGTTTCATGCGCCTTTCTAGGCCAACCCTCTCTAGCTACATTTCTAAACCTTCTTACCACCCTCTAGTTTACTATTTCTCAGTGAATCCCAAAAAGCTGTTTGCATCAGAGCCATCTTTCAGTCAAAAGGGTAACTCTCAGTCTCCCTTCCAGATCTGCTGAATAAGAATACCTATGAGTGGAGTATGAGATTCTGTATTCTGATCAAGTTTCTACAAGAGATTATGTTGCACAGCAAATTTTGGAAACTGCTATTTTAATTATTATAATAGCCCATGTACTAGGTATAAGTTAAAATTGCTTCTCTTCTTACACCCAAGCCCTGATAACACTTGTTATCACTGAGTGTGCTATTTGTTTACCCTCTTTGTTGTCGTATTTCCCTTTTAGAATGTAAACACTCTGAAAGCATGGGTTTTTGTCTCTCTTATTCACAACGGCATCTGTCCATTAACACAGAGTGATCAATAAATATTTGTTGAATAAATGGAGGATAAAAAAGAGATCATCCTATGCCAAATTTCCCTTCTTATTACCATCCACTCTATGACAGACACCCTGACTGACCCTATCTCAGCATTGTATGTGCTCTTTTTTTTTTTATTATACTTTAAGTTTTAGGGTACATGTGCACAACGTGCAGGTTTGTTACATATGTATACATGTGCCATGTTGGTGTGCTGCACCCAGTAACTTGTCATGTAACATTAGATATATCTCCAAATGCTATCCCTCCCCACTCCCCCAACCCACAACAGGCCCCAGTGTGTGATGTTCCCCTTCCTGTGTCCATGTGTTCTCATTGTTCAATTCCCACCTATGAGTGAGAACATGCGGTGTTTGGTTTATTGTCCTTGCAATAGTTTGCTGAGAATGATGGTTTCCAGTTTCATCCATGTCCCTACAAAGGACATGAACTCATCCTTTTCTATGGCTGCATAGTATTCCATGGTGTATATATGCCACATCTTCTTAATCCAGTCTATCATTGTTGGACATTTGGGGTGGTTCCAAGTCCTTGCTATTGTGAATAGTGCCACAATAAACATATGTGTGCATGTGTCTTTATAGCAGCATGATTTATAATCCTTTGGGTATATACCCAGTAATGGGATGGCTGGGTCAAATGGTATTTCTAGTTCTAGATCCCTGAGGAATCGCCACACTGACATCCACAATGGTTGAACTAGTTTACAGTCCCATCAACAGTATAAAAGTGTTCCTATTTCTCCACATCCTCTCTAGCACCTGTTGTTTCCTGACTTTTTAATGATCACCATTCTAACTGGTGTGAGATGGTATCTCATTGTGGTTTTGATTTGCATTTCTCTGATGGCCAGTGCTGATGAGCATTTTTTGATGTGTCTTTTGGCTGCATAAATGTCTTCTTTTGAGAAGTGTCTGTTCATATCCTTCACCCATTTTTTGATAGGGTTGTTCGTTTTTTTCTTGTAAATTTGTTGGAGTTCATTGTAGATTCTGGATATTAGCCCTTTGTCAGATGAGTAGATTAAAAATTTTTCTCCCATTTTGTAGGTTGCCTGTTCACTCTGATGGTAGTTTCTTTTGCTGTGCAGAAGCTCTTTAGTTTAATTAGATCCCATTTGTCAATTTTGGCTTTTGTTGCCATTGCTTTTGGTGTTTTAGACATGAAGTCCTTGCCCATGCCTATGTCCTGAATGGTATTGCCTAGGTTTTCTTCTAGGGTTTTTATGGTTTTAGGTCCAACGTTTAAGTCTTTAATCCATCTTGAATTAATTTTTGTGTAAGGTGTAAGGAAGGGATCCAGTTTCAGCTTTCTACATATGGCTAGCCAGTTTTCCCAGTACCATTTATTAAATATGGAATCCTTTCTCCATTGCTTGTTTTTGTCAGGTTTGTCAAATATCAGATAGTTGTAGATATGTGGCATTATTTCTGAGGGCACTGTTCTGTTCCATTGATCTATATCTCTGTTTTGGTACCAGTACCATGCTGTTTTGGTTACTGTAGCCGTGTAGTATTGTTTGAAGTCAGGTAGCATGATGCCTCCAGCTTTGTTCTTTTGGCTTAGGATTCACATGGCAATGCAGGCTCTTTTTGGGTTCCATATGAACTTTAAAGTAGTTTTTTCCAATTCTGTGAAAAAAGTCATTGGTAGCTTGATGGGGATGGCATTGAATCCATAAATTCCCTTGGGCAGTATGGCCATTTTCACGATATTGATTCTTCCTACCCATGAGCATGGAATGTTCTTCCATTTGTTTGTATCCTCTTTTATTTCATTGAGCAGTGGTTTGTAGTTCTCCTTGAAGAGGTCCTTCATATCCCTTGTAAGTTGGATTCCTAAGTATTTTATTGTCTTTGAAGCAATTGTGAATGGGAGTTCACTCGTGATTTAGCTCTCTGTTTGTGTGTTATTGGTGTATAAGAATGCTTGTGATTTTTGCACATTGATTTTGTATCCTGAGACTTTGCTGAAGTTGCCTATCAGCTTAAAGAGATTTTGGGCTGAGACGATGGGGTTTTCTAGATACACAATCATGTCATCTGCAAACAGGGACAATTTGACTTCCTTTTTTACTAATTGAATACCCTTTATTTCCTTCTCCTGCCTCATTGCCCTGGCCAGAACTTCCAACACTATGTTGAATAGGAGTGGTGAGAGAGGGCATCCCTGTCTTGTGCCAGTTTTCAAAGGGAATGCTTCCAGTTTTTGCCCATTCAGTATGATATTGGCTGTGGGTTTGTCATAGACAGCTCTTATAATTTTGAGATACATCCCATCAATACCTAATTTATTGAGAGTTTTTAGCATGAAGGGCTGTTGAATTTTGTCAAAGGCCTTTTCTGCATCTATTGAGATAATGATATGGTTTTTGTCGTTGGTTCTGTTTATATGCTGGATTATATTTATTGATTTGCGTATGTTGAACCAGCCTTGCACCCCAGGGATGAAGCCCACTTGGTCATGTTGGATAAGCTTTTTGATGTGCTGCTGGATTCGGTTTGCCAGTATTCTATTGAGGATTTTTGCATCGATGTTCATCAGGGATATTGGTCTAAAATTCTCTTTTTTTGTTGTGTCTCTGCCAGGCTTTGGTATCAGGATGATGCTGGCCTCATCAAATGAGTTAGGGAGGATTCTCTCTTTTTCTATTGATTGGAATAGTTTCAGAAGGAATGGTACCAGCTCCTCCATGTAGCTCTAGTAGAATTTGGCTGTGAATCCATCTGGTCCTGGACTTTTTTTGTTGGTAAGCTATTAATTATTGCCTCAATTTCAGAGCCTGTTATTGGTCTATTAAGAGATTCAACTTCTTCCTGGTTTAGTCTTGGGAAGGTGTAAGAATTATTTTCAGTACCTTTCTTCCAGATAATACTAAGAGTTCTCCAAGGTATTTCATACCCTTTCTTGACTTTTATTTCCACAAAAATCCCTAAGAAGTTACCCATGTACATACACAAATTAACAATTCAAGAAAGCAAAGCTGGGAATAGTTAATTTAGCAATCTATTCCCTAAATGAAAGAACTGGGGAGAACTCAGCACTTTTCACTCTACCTCTAACTCTCCTCAGCGTCAAACAGATATTCAGCATAATCTTCTATTCTGAGGTCGAACACTGCTTCTCAACGTGTGGTCTGCCACCATCAGCCTCTCTTGAGAATTGGTTAAAAATTCTTGGGCATAACCCCAGATCTACTGAGTCAGAACTCTAGGAATGGGTCCGGAAATTTGTTTTAGCAAGTCTTGCAGGTGATTTTGGTACATACTCAAATTTGAGAACTACTAAGTTAGGACGATAAACCACTGTTAAAATGCAGATACTACTTCTAAGGAAGAATGCACTGGGCAATGCTCCCTAATAGACAATGCAGATAAAGAATGTCACAATATTAGCAGAGATAACAACAGTAGGGGATGGTGTAATAAAATGCTCATCAGCTCATCACAGTTTCTGCCCCATGGTAAATTTTTGGAAAAAAATACTATAAAGAATGGATGGCAGAATAAGTAAGTGTAAAGAAATATTAAAGGAGACCAGCAGAAATATGGTTAAACTTCAGTGTTATCATTCTGGGTATGACTGATCTGTGCATAACGGAGTTACACCAGAGAACAGTTCAATTTGGGGCAAGGAAAGCAACTCAGCTTTCCAGTTTCCAAGTGCAATTTATGAATGAAATTGCTAATGTGGCTCTTTCTATGGACCAATACCAATCACTGTCTCCTTAATAGACTACACAGTCATGGAGAAACCCTGCCCATCCTCCTCTACAACCACCATCTGTGATTTCATTTCTCATTAGTTAAACATCCCTATTATATATGAAGTTCTCTGGGGAATAATTTAAGGACTAAAGGCCTGCAGAGTTTATTAGACGTACTAAAAAGTGTTCCTTTTCATCTTTCTAACAACACTAATTTAATCACCTGGAATCATTTCTGAAGTACAGTAAACACAGCTAAGAATTTCAGCCATGAAATTCTTGTATAGAAATCATCAAAAATGCGTTTTCTTTACTTAAGATATTTACCAGTTGGATCACGTATTTTTATTAAACTAAAATGCATATTTTAAATTATAAATATTCAATGGAACATCACAGACATTGTAGACAGATAATGTCAATCTTTCTCTTTATTATTAAATGGAAAGTAATGGCAAGGCTGCAATTACTTTTGCACCAACCTAATAGAAGGAAATTCACTTTTCCTTTATAAAGAATTTTTAAGACTACATATAGACCACACGTAAGTAATCAGAGTAAAGGAAAAAAAACACTCACACCAGTAATTATTCAATTAAGGATCTAATAGCATCCAACCATATTACAACTGGTTGAGCCATGTTTCTTTATTCACACTGTAAGGCAGTGAAACACACACAAATGCTTTACAATTTTCATTATGCTACCAGTGGTTGAAAATATTATTTAAGCAGGTCACCCATAATTAGGTTTCAAAACCACACATTCATTCATTTTCTCACTCATTTATTTAGTACAACTATTTGAGTGCCCATCACTTCCCAGCAACTCTGCTGGGAGGGGTACGATGCTCCTAAATATAAACAACCCTTTCCCCCTACACAGGTAATGCAAACACTACAGCTCTGTTTTGCGTTGCATCAGAAAATAAAAGCAGGATGAGCAAGTTAAAGTGTATTAGGTATCTGTTGCTTCTGCTTTCCAAACACTTATTCTGCCATACTATAGTAGGAGAATTCGCATTTCCACTTGGAGAACCCTTTGGTGTCTGAAATGCTCACATGACTCAGGCCTACTCTTATCAACATATTCTCTCCACCAGTGATTGGTTTATGTTAGGGAGTCGACATGAATCACACTAACAAGACTTAACATTTCAGATGTATGGTAAAACTACTGGAGAACAGAAGTTTTTTTTTTTGGATATGGAGTCTCGCTCTGTCCCCCAGGCTAGAGTGCAGTGGCGCGATCTTGGCTCACTGCAAGCTCCGCCTCCTGGGTTTACGCGGAAAACAGAAGTTTTATCCACTGAAATCACTAGCTTTGTGAAAATATAAGCTTGGAACTCTTGGAGTTACTATAATGAGAGGGCCTATGGTGTAATGAGGAAATCAAGCATCAGATGGAGAAATAAAAAATGTTGATGACATCATTTTACCAGTTTCCTGGATCTAACCATGCCTGAAGCTAGAGCTAACCTCTGAATTTAAATTAGAAGGCACACATACACACTCCATATCATCCTACTTTATTATTTACACCTGATATTTTATATGTTTTGTATATCTATTTTTTTGTCAAACCTTTCCTCCACCAGAATGTAAGGTTCATGAAAGTTTTTCTTGGCAGGAGAGGGAGAGATCTATTTTGTTCACTATCACATCCCTTCCTCTGGAGTAGGAATTAGCACCTGGCAGGGGCCTCAATAATTATTTGTTGAAAAAATAAGTGAGCATGGTTTTGTTCCTAACCTTCTTTTCCATGACTACCACTCCCCGCTTTCCACACACAGGCACACAGGATACCCTCTCATCGACCCTGCTAACAGTGCCTGAAATCCTCCTGGGATCGTCATTCCTTGCATTACATTCATAAAATTTGTTCACATTGTTTCTTGATCTTCATTATCACAAAGAGATGTAAGAAGTCAGTATCCAGATATGGTTCTTTTTTGGGGGGGGATGATGAGAGAAGGGGACACAAATCAGGAACCAAGGCTTATGATAGTTAAATTAGTAATCTAATCCCTAAATGAATGTGGTAGTATTGGAACCCAGCACTTATATTTTTAAACATAACACTTTCAAAAATACCAACATGTAAATTCCTTTCCATTTCCCTCTCACTTATGTCTGTATAAACATCACTTAGATAGTCCCTCGAATTCTGTATGTACACAATTAATGTCTGCTTAATGTTGTATAGATGTAAGTTAATTGGTTAAAATTTCACTTTGTTATACTGTATCGGGTTTTTATGAAAGTCTGTGTCTTTAATTCCAGGAACTGCCTCCTAATTAAGCAACCTTGCTCTATGGGTTTGCTCTAATAATGACTTTTATTCCGATTAATACAATGCAGTGGGAAAACTAATTCACTCTAAAAAATTCTCTGCATTAAAGGAAAAATGGGTAGAAATTGGGTCCAAAATGTTGCTGGTAGGAATTCTATTCTTAATTCTTATTTCCCCAACACTGAAACTTTCCCCCTCTGTGGACTGCCTGTGCTTGTACTAACTATGTAAATGTATCTATGATTGATTTTTAAAACAGCACACCAGGGTATATTCAGCCCCTGAACAAGAAAAATATCATCCAACTGTAAATATCCAGTGGAGCATTAAAACTGTTTCTTCTTTGCCCTGCATAATTGCAGAACCCAAAGAGAGAAGAAATATTTCCTAAAATCTGGCTTCCCATTAGATTGAATAAACGTCAACTTGAAAACCAGGAAACAAAAATGCCATCAGGAGGTCTTCTGATACATAAAATATTCAAAAGTCTCTGTGGCTCAGGAAGAATTTCTAAAATTGCTAGATGCTTTCCAGCCTGACCCTGTAGGTGAATGTTTTAAAAGTTTCCATTCTCATTGTACATTGTTTTGCATGTGTGTTATTCTGAAATCAGACACTCTCTATGGGTTTCCAGTGATAATGGCATTGGATACCTATTAATACAATGCCGTGGAAAACCCAATCTGTTGGATGAGCAATTCTCAGCATTATAAGAAGCAAACTAGAGGCATGACACTATTGCCAGTTGTTGGCCAGTGTGGCTTTTTGTTTTTTAATTATCATTAAAACACAGGCAAAAATGCATACTGTTGAAATTGGCACATATTGGTCAATGCAACATCTTATTTGGGAAAAGGGAAAGACTAGACAATGCATCCATAGTAAGCTATTTTTAGAAATGAGGGAGACAAGAAAAAAACCCACACATATGTTTGTGTGTGTGTGTGTGTGTGTGTTTGTATGTGTGTTTCAACAGTATTCATTAGTATGTAACTTATGCTCCAACCATTTCACAGAGTGGTGGAAATTCCTATGTAAATTATTTCTGGGATACCCATCATGACTTGGTGTTGTGTGGGCCATTATTTTGCCTGAATTTTGTACAAAACTGTACTCACCTCTGTGTAGCTTCCTGGAGATTTCCATGTGTAGGGGAGTCATGTAGAAAGGGGCCTTTCTTTATTCTCATCACTTCCTACTCCCCAGTAATATGACTTAGAAAACAGCATGGTACAGTTCTTGCTCACACACAAAAAAAGAGAAAAAATGCCTCGAGGATACTTCTACTCTTCCAACACTTTTCCCAACCCACTGTTCCCCCAAAAAAGAGGAACACATTCTGGTGGTTATGAGAAATTTTTGAATATATTTTACATGTTTGTGAGTTTCACACATTTCTTCTTTTTGAACTGTCTATTCATGTACTTTGTTCATTTCACCATAGGGTTGTTCTGAGTATTTCTCATGAAGTCACATTAACAAGTAGGGAAGAAGTAAAGATCCAATTTGGGAGAAATTAGAGGAGGTATCTATTGGGTATAAACTCTAAGTGTTAGGCTTGCTAACACATGATCTAAATTTGAAATACAAGGTATTAAATTGAATATTTAGATTTTTGTTCATAGTCTACAGCTCTGTATTTGATTTGTCACATGTAAATTTTATAGTTTTGAACATTCTTATCAGAAACTTACAAAAAAGAACTTAAGATTTTTTGTGTTTCCTACCCCGCCCATAACAGACTGTAAACACAGATCAGGCTCAAGTCCTCTCCAGCTACATGCAGAACACAAAGCCAATAAACATTCTTCTAGTTCAGGTTTCTAATCCTTGGCACTACTGAAATTTTGGACTGAAGAATTCTTTGTTGTGAGGGCTGTCCTGTGTACTATAAGATGTTTAGTAACATTCCTGGCCTCTACCCACTAGATGCCATTAGCACCTCTCCAGTTGTGATAATCAACTCCAGACATTGCTAGACATTCCCTAGAAGACAACATTGCTTTCATTTGAAAACCACTGATCTAATTTATACCTGGAATAGAAATACTTGATAATCTGCAAAATGAAAATTCAGTCCCTCCTATGGCAAGCCATTTTTCCAAATGCAAAAGAGACCATGGAAGGACACATGGAAGGAAACTCTGGAGGAAAACACTGGGTCTATAGCATTGATAACATTTGAAAAGTTAACTATGTTATATAGCGCATCCTGCAGTTACACTGCAATGAAAAAGGTAAATTTAAAAAAGCATCCTACAATTTCCAAGAGGATAGGTTTGAAAAGTACTTATGAAGCTGCCTCAAAATGACTGCTTTATGAATTACTTCACTAAAATCACAGTGACTTGAGTTCCCATTCCACAAAGCCTTCCTCCTATTTACTTCTGTCTTTCAATCCATCAAGTCACCTTGATTTTTTCTGGGGAAAAACAATTATCTTGAGTTGAACTTCTTTGTTTCCAAGTCCTCTACCACCCTTCTAGATTGAGTCATCAGCATCTCTTGTTCAGTGATACATTTCCAAGTAATTTCCTTGTGTCCATCCTTGTTTCACTTCAATCAGTGCAGGCAAGAGCAACCAGAATAACATTGAAAAATACCTAATTCTGATCATGTTAGGCTTTTTCCTGACACTCTTCAATAACATTCCACTCCTTTAGAACATGCCCAAGGCTCTTACCATGGTTCAAAACCCTCCAGAATCAGGTCACAGCCTACCTACAATCATGTTATTTCTTGCTCACTATATACCAGTCCCACTGACCTTTCAGTTTCTCTTCTGTCTCAGGACCTTGATATATATTCTTCCTCTGCCAAAATGTTCTTATTTCCACATGATTGGCTCCTTCTCATCTTTAAGTTCCAGCTCAAGCATCACCTTTCCTTACAACGCAATCTGATGCTCCCTCCCCTTTTTTCTTTTATATGAACCTATTATTTTCCCTTAACACATATTTCCATTCAGTGCTTCCTTTACTGCTTATACAATTGTGTGCGTAATGTCCATTTCTCAGATCAGACCTTCAGTTTCATGAGATCAGGGACCATATGTCTTGTTTATGTCTGGTGACAACTCAGCGACTCATCCATAGCAAGTATGAGATACAAATAGTTGGAGATATTAATGATCAATTACTCCTCAATCTTCCATCACCTTTAAGTCTCTTAAGCATAACGGGAAAGGCTAGTTTGCCTATAAAGCAAAACATTATTCACTGAGGCAAAAACAACCTAATTATTCCAAAGAAAATAAAATCCAGCCTGCTTCTTTTTAAGGTAGAGGCAAAGAATAAATGAGAGTTTGATTGCAAACCTACTCAGTCTCTTTCCCACCTCTCTGAAGAGTAAACTGATCTATCATTTGTCATCGAAGTGCTCTCTTCTGTCCCTCTTTTACTCACCCAAGTTTTATTATGCTGTGGTCAATACTCTACAGCAAATCCTGCAAAGGTTAACCTGCCAGCTCTGTGAGCCCACAACCCTCTTTGCATTTTTATGTTCCTCATTACAAGTGGGCTATTTTTATACCTGTTAGCTACTAACCATCGGCAAAACTTCAAGCTCCAGAATAAAATATGACAAGGGCCAAGAAAGGTAACAATAATGTTGCCTGCACTGCAGCCAGCCTGCCATTAATAATAGCAGGGAGAGAGGGAAAGGAAGAGGCAGGGGAAGGTGTTAAGAGGGAAAGGAGCCTCCTTGAATTTTGGCGAAGACTCCTCCTGGGGCAGAGGGACAGGTAAGGCTTGCCTGGCACACCCAGCACTGGGACCCATCTCACTCTCCATCCCTTTAACCACTGGTCTGAAATTCTTCAAGATATTAAATCTTGGAATTAGAAAAGTCTCACAGTCTGGCAGGGCCTTACATTTCATAGTCCAAATAACCATCTGGTATGTGAATATTTCCTGCAAATAATAAAACCCACCATTGTGAAACTTTAGAAAGTTCTTTCACAGTAACACATTTGCACATGAAAGCAAAGATGCAGCCACAAGGATGCTCATCATTTTGTGGTTTAAAAGCAAAAATCTGAAAAAAACCTAAATGTTTATCACTAGAGGGATGTTATGTAAATATTGGTACATTTATGCTTTGGATTATTACTATATCAATATTGTTATTAATTTTGCTAGCTAATGTATACATTTTTATTATTTATACATATTTTATTACACACTTTAAAATGTACTTATTGTCTGTTTTCATAACAGAGAGCTTGTAAGTGCCATGAATGCAGAGACCATGTTTCCAGAACAGTATGGGGTACATAAAGGGTGTATAATAAATATGTGTTGAATGCATGAAGAATAAATTAAAACTATGTCACCATTAAGAAAATATAGTAAATCTATATATACTTATATATGTATTTGTTTAAAAACATACAGGCACATGTCGTACATGGGAATCTGAGGAATGCAGTTTTTAAATGTTTCCTTATTCCTGAAGCACTGAAGGGCTACTGGAGAAAGTGGAATACTGATGCTGAGTGTCAAACTACTACCAAGTATCCTTGCCAAGTTAACTCATCTACCCTGATGAAAAGCTGAAAACCTTGGTCGAGGTTTTGAAATTCAAAGTTTTTTATAAAAATGAATAAATAATATAGTCTTCTTTCATAATTTTGACCTGTCTCTCAGCAAGCTGTCCATTATCTCGTGATGATACTCTCATGTCTTTTAGACTTTAGTAGAGAAACCCAGCAGCTATGGAGCCTCCCTCTGAACAGGGACACATCTTAATTGCCATGCACCTAGTGTTCTGCACCAAGCATGCTAAGCTGGTTGTATCATAGAAGACTGTAGAGTGGAGTGGGTGTCAGTATAGGTTTGACATTCTGATAGAATTGAGTTGAAACAACTTCCTGTACCTACAGAACCTTGGCTGGGGAGGTCACTTATTCCTCTGAGGCTCAGTGTCACCACCTTCAAGAATAGACATAATACCCGAAACTGACACTGGATCATTTTAAGGATTGACTGTCTCAATGAGGAATGTAGGACAGGGCCGGGCACATGGAAAATGTTCAATAAATGGTAGTTACATGGTTTTAGATGAGGTCCTGATAAGGAACTTTATGTTGTGAGGGTCCATTTCACATTATTACATGTCAAGCCACTTACTGAACCAATATGGCCCCTCAATGATAGCATATACTTCACAAAGAAGGATGCAACATAAGTAAGAGTAGGTGTAGCAATTCCAAACTTACTTTCATTCCTGAAAAATAATTCAAAGCATACCATCTCAGGTAGAACATTTTGTCTCTCCTAATCCTCAGATCCCTTTCATCCCAGAACTTAGTACATACTGAAGCCAGCATGAGGAAATGAGGTCTTTGGTAATGCTATCCAATGAACAAAAAGAAGACTGCCACTCATTAATGCATCGTAACATGCAAGAGGTATTCCAGCAGGAGGCAAATCTAATTTCACTGAGTTCAATCCTCTGTACTTGTTTTATTTACTTATTTTATGTTGTTTCTATGTTTTAAGCATGCATCTCTACTACATACATATTTAAGTTACATACATATTTTATGTACTAAGATAGTATGTACACTGTAAACTTTAACAACTGACATTATTTTTTATGAGAAAAATCATCATACATAGAAATCCTGGCATTTTCTTCTATACCCCATGTGGTGTCTTGTTTCTATCCTGGACTTGAACATCTCTGCCCTGGAGAGCACTGTTTTAGGGAATCCTGTCTGAGGCCTTTCTACCCTGTGGATAGTGATCTGTCCTATTTTCCTATTCTCCCTCAATCAGGGGATTATGGGCAAGGAAGGCAAAGGGTTAAGACAAGATGTCACATCTGCCCTCACCTATGTCTTATGTGGCTTGAGTTATACATTTTTAAATTAGTTGTCAACCTTTAACAATCAGAACATTTCTCCCACCTAAAGAATTAGAAAGTCTGGAGACACTGGGTCCCTGTGTCCACTGACATTTTACTCAGCCTAAATAGCACTCTCAGGCTATCCTTCAATACAGTCCTTACCAAACCTACCATGAAACCCGCTCTCATGCTATAGGTGTTTGAGCTTGCAACTCCTTGCAGACTGAGGGACCCCAGGGTCACAGGAGAAGAGGAGGAACATGTATGAAACAAGAGATTTCGTGACCAGCAAGACTCCATGTCTGTTGGAGAAGCTAGGAGCATGGCTGAGCAAAGCAGTATAGAAGCCAGTCCAGCCTTTTTACCCTCTGTGGTCTCTGTTGATTTTACTGTACCTCCAGAACTCAGCATAAAAGATTACTCAAATATTCTTGTTCTAGTGTTTGTGCTTGTCTAACTAAGAGTTTAGTCATTTGTTATGATAACATCATATAGTACTCTGGAGCCACATTAGAGGCTGAGGCAAAAGGAAATTTATGTGCTCCTATATGCACTGATTAAATAATCTCCCAAAGTTTGAACCAAGTGCAAAAAAGTTAATAAAAGCCCTAAAATTTTTTAAAAAATGACTTTATGTATAAAGTCTCATATTAGCTAATATGCTCATAGGCCATTTTTCAATTCTGATACACCTACGAGAGTTGGAGGGGGGATGACAGCCACTCAGACTGAGAAATAGGGACTAATTATTCCCATTGTATAATAATGCAAGGTCATAAAGGGAACAAACCATGACAACCTCTTGTTATTTATATTTTTGATATTTGGTTGAGAATTTTTAATTTTGATATTTAAAAATATGATTTAATTGCTGAGATTTTTAGTGTCCCCTGAAATTTTGTTTTTGAAGCAAGTACCTTATTGTCACTCTCTCACCTTGCCCTGGTACCAAACCTCCTCACGCTGTGGGGCCCAGTGCTGAGTTCATGTTTTATTTTATCTCACCCAGGGAAAATCTACAGTATTATCCCCACACAGAGGTCAGTACAGCCCCCTGGGGATGCAAATGGAGCTTCAGTGGCCTCTCAGAGCCTTAGGTCCAAAAAGGTATTCCAGCGTGACATGATTGGCCCAGACTGTATGGAACCTTGGAATTATGTCCAATCCCTGAGAATAGAATTGGGTTTCCTCATTTACCTACGCTCCCAACAAAAAACATGACAACCGTACAAGGGTGGCAGTTATTTCTCAAGCTACCAATTTTAGCTACAAGGACTTTTTTTAAAAAGTGTTCATCGTTTTTTCTCACTCTTCTAGGATCGTGTGATAAACCTCAAGTGATTCATCTCCATTTGCCAGCAATGACTGCCCTCCCACTTTTAAAAATTCTAAAGCCAAATTTTGAAAGTGTCCCGCATAGCAAATATTCAAGGCTTCACTTCTTCTGTGGTAGAAGGGATGCTAAAAATTCTTTTCTTCTAGATGATTAGACTCTTGCAAAGGTCAGAAGAGAAATAAATTTAGCTCAGGCAGTAAAATGGAAAGAGCCCATCATAGAGTTACAGCAGAGCCCGATTAGAAAGTTATGCCAGTAAGACTGCTCTATTGATCCAAAGGGAGAGAAGTCACAGGTGGCAGCAAACTGACAATGGGCTGTGAGCAAAATATCCATGTTGTAAAAAATCTCTCCCTATCGCTAATCTTGGCATTGCTTCCTACTGACTTGCAAGAAAAATGAGTTCAACTCAGCCTATTGCAGTTTTTGTTCTTTCTTCTTTATATGAAAAAAGACATACTATAAATAAACACTACAAGCACAGCAATTATTTCGTATTTGCTTCTTTCCACTTAAGGGAATGGTAAGGGAAGAGAGGGGCCCTGGGGCTTGTAATCCTAGGTGATGATGTGGGGGTAAAAAGAAGCAAATTAGCCTCATTGTGTACCTCATGCCCACCCCCAATATCCCCTTCACTGACCCTACCTCTAATACATCCAATAGTTTCTCTTCTATGCACAGGAACTGATCATGGAAAATGTATGAAGAAAGGAAATGTTAAATTTCCCTCAGGCAATTTTTCATTCACTAAATTAGGGGCCAGCAAACATTTTTTCTGTAACAGGCCAGATAGTAAAGGCGTTTGGCTTTGTGAGCCATGCCATCTCTTTGTAACTATGCAACTTTGCCATTGTAGGGCTCAAAAGCAGCCACAGACAATACATAAACAAATGAGTGTGGCGATGTGTTTTTTTCAAACAAAGCCAAAAAGAGTAACTTTATTTACAAAAACAGGCTGTGGGCCACAGTTTGCCTTTCCCTGCTCTAAAAGATAACTGGTGTTATGTTGGAATTTCATGACTCTTGAATATTACAAATAAACAAGCAAACAGGCACCCCACTTACAGAAAAAGAAAAATATATAGTTTTTAGCAGACAGCAAGAAGGCTTAGTTCTTTGAGAAAAGGCATGTTTCAGCTTTGGAGCTGAGTGCCTATGCTTTTCCTATGGCCCTTGTCATAACGCGGATCTCATCCTTGGACTGCCATGGGACTTCATGTGAATGGAAAATTATAAGAGAAGTCATTATATGAAAAAGACATATGCACACACATGCTTCTAGCAGCACAATTCATAATTGCAAAGATATAGACCTGACGTAAGTGCCCATCAACCAATGGGTGGATAAAGAAAATGTGGTATATATACACCACGGAATATTTCTCTGCCATAGAAAGGAATGACGTAATGTCTTTTGCAGTAACTTGAATGGAGATGGGAGACCATTATTCTAAATGAAGTAACTCAGGAATGGAAAACCAAATATCACATGTTCTCACTTATAAGTGGGAGCTAAGCTATGAGGATGCAGAGGCATAGGCACAATATAATGGAACTTGGGGACTCACAGAGTGGGGGGAAGATTGAGAAGGGTGTAAGGGATAACAGACAATATATTGGGTACAGTGTACACTGCTTGAGTGATGGGTGCACTAACATCTCAGAAATCACCACTAAGGAACTTACCTATGTTCAACCAAAAAACACCTGTATCCCAAAACTATTGAAATAAAAATAAAAATTATAAAAATAAATTATAAGACAAGTGACATTTTCGTCTGCTAAGAAAGGAAAAGCAAAACTTTTTACATTGGATTTTTTATCCCTCTTTCTTTTCAGCATAAATTTTAAGTCAGAAATTGCCAGAAGTCAAGTTTATTTATCAGAATGTTGGTGTTCTGTCTGGGAATGAGCTATCCACTGCACCTGCTGCAAAGTTTGCCTGAGCCACTGCTGCATTTAGCAAGCTAACTTTAGACTGTATGCAAGGGGAGAGCACAAATCCATCATGTTCTCTGGGACATGTCCCTTGGATCATGATGTATTTACAGAAATAGCTCCCAAGGACTGCTGTCCTTGGTGAAAAAAAGTCACACTCTCTCTCTCTCACACACACACACATACACACACATCTCTTTTATTCCTAAATTGAGACACTCTCAGTAAATAGTTTTAATATTTTTGGATCAAGCACTGCTTCAAGTATTAGATAAAGCTATGTTTTATACAAGTGAAAAACAAACACACATAAATATTTATATATAATTTCCAAAGGCTTAAATTCATGGTTTCCCTCCCCTGCCCTGGCCTACCTACAGATTCCAGCATAAGAAGCTCCTGCCTCAGAGATATTATGATTTTGACTAGCATCAGATAAGACCAGACGAACCTGTAGACCAATGCACTTTTTTCCATAAACTGCAGGACCCCTCCAGATAGAAAGGCAACAAAACAATCTTTTTTCCACTCTGGAAAGACCATGGAATCTAAGATCTATATGCCATGGTGTTTTAGGGCAGATCAGATCCCAATTTAAACTTCCCACCCTTGATATTCTCCAAAAATATCCTGGAAATAGAATTACCTTTTTCAAAAAATGACCATCAACTGATTCTTCCTAAGAATAGTTGTTTACTATTGCAGAAAAACTTAAGAGTCAAGAAAATCTCCGTCTTTCCAAAACGCCTCTATTAGAAACTCCTTATTTTACTTAAGCCATTTTATCAGTTCCAGTGGTGGAAGAGACATCTTTAAGTTTTTTTGCCATTTACACTTCCCTGAGTTTGGTTGATGTTATAAAGAAAAGTTCAGTGTCTATTTTTTATACTAAAGGTTGTATAAAGAAAGGATTCTAGGCATGGTGTCTTCCACCATCTATGGGACTATGGACTAAAAACAACAATAGAGTGCTAGGCACTCTACAATATTCCCTCACTGTATATTGTGGCTTAACCCTTGCCACAGCCCTATCCAGCAGACACTGTCAATGCCCCTACTACACAGATGAGGAGAAAAAGGCTGAGAGACAGGAAGTACTTTCTTTGCACCAGTAAATAGAGAGTTGAAGAGTCAAACCCAGGTCCTTTGGTTCTAGAGTCTTAAGTCTTATCTATAGAAAACATATCACATACCTCTGAAGTCCCAATCCTATTCTGGACACCACAAATTACTAAACGACCATGGTAATATCACTTGATTGTTTTGGCTTCAGCTATAAAATTAGAAGTGGGGATCAGACAATCTTAAAGGTACCTATCAGCTCATTTATAACATATGATATTTTAATTATCTTTAATAATAGTATTGCTTAAACATAGATTGCTTTTTATATTGTGAATTTAACTAGTTTACAAGTAAAAAGAAACAAAAGCCTATCTTAAAATTCATATGGAACCAAAAAAGAGCTTGAATAGCCAAGGAAGGCCTAAGCAAAAAGAACAAAGCTGGAGGCATCATGCTACCTGGCTTCAAATATACTACAGAGCTATGGTAACCAAAACAGCATGGTACTAGTACAAAAACAGACATATAGACCAATGGAACAGAATAGAGAGCCAAAAAATAAGGCCACACAGCTATGACCATCTGATCTTCAACAAAGCTGACAAAAACAAGCAATGGAGGAAGGACCCCCTAAACAGTGCTTGGGATAACTGGCTAGCCATATGCAGAAGACTGAAACTGGATCCCTTCCTTACACCAAATACAAAAATCAACTTAAGATGGATTAAAGACTTAAATGTAAAACCCAAAGTTATTAAAATGCTGAAAGACAACCTAGGCACTTTCATTGTGGTTGTAGGCACAGGCAAGGATTTCGTGATGAAGATGCTAAAAGCAATTGCAACAAAAGCAAAAAGTGACAAATGAGATCTAATTAAACTTAAGAGTTTCTGAACAGCAAAACAATCAACAGAGTAAACAGAAAACCTACAGAATGGGAGAAAACCTTTGCAAACTTTTGCAAACTATGCATCTGACAAAGGTCTAACATCCAGCATCTACAAGGAACTTAAACAAATTTACAAGAGAAAAACAAACAATCCCATTTAAAAGTGAGCAATGGACATGCAAAGGAACTGATAAGGTTTGGCTGTGTCCCCACCCAAATCTCAACTTATATTGTACCTCCCAGAATTCCCACATGTTGTGGGAGGGACCCAGTGGGAGGTAGTTGAATCATAGGGGCCAGCCTTTCCCATGCTATCCTCATGATAGTGAATAAGTTTCATGAGATCTGATGGTTTTTTTTTTTTTTTTTTTTTTTTTTTTTTTTTTTTTTTTTGAGACGGAGTCTCACTCTGTCCCCTAGGCTGGAGTGCAATGGCATGATCTTGGCTCACTGCAGGCTCCGCCTCCCAGGTTCACGCCATTCTCCTGCTTCAGCCTCCTGAGTAGCTGAGACAACAGGCACCCGCCAACATGCCCGGCTAATTTTTTTGTATTTTTAGTAGAGACAGGGTTTCACCATGTTAGCCAGGATGGTCTTGATCTCCTGACCTCGTGATCTGCCTGTCTCGGACTCCCAAAGTGCTGGGATTACAGGTGTGAGCCACCGTGCGCCCAGTAGAGATCTGATGGGTTTTTCAGGGGTTTCAGCTTTTGCTTCCTCTTCATTTTTCTTTTGCTGTTGCCATGTAAGAAGTGCCTTTTACCTCCCGACATGATGCTGAGGCCTCCCCAGCCATGTGGAACTGTAAATCCAATTAAATCTCTTGTTCTTCCTAGTCTCAGGTATGTCCTTATCAGCATCTTGGAAACAGACTAATACAGAAACTTTTCAAAAGAAGACATACATGCAGCCAATATACATACGAAAAAAAAAGCTCAACATCACTGATCATTAGAAAAATGCAAATCTGACTGGGCACAGTGGCTCATGCCTGTAATCCCAGCACTTTGGGAGGCTGAGGCAGGTGGATCACCTGAGGTTAGGAGTTCGAGACCAGCCTGATCAATATGAAGAAACCCTATCTCTACTATAAAACACAAAAATTTGCCAGGCGTGATGGCGCATGCCTCTAATCCCAGCTACTCAGGAGGCTGAGGCAAGAGAATTGCTTGAACCAAGGAGGCGGAGGTAACAGTGAGCCGAGGTTGCACCATTGCACTCCAGCCTCGGCAACAAGAGAGAAACTCTGTCTCAAAATAGAAAGGAAGGAAGGAAGGAAGGAAGGAAGGAAGGAAGGAGCAAATCAAAACCACAATGAGATAGCATCTCACACCAGTTAGAATGGCTACTATTAAAAACTCAAAAAATAACAGATGCTGGTGAGGTTGTAGAGAAAAGGGAACACTTATACACTATTGGTCACTTATACACTGTTGGTGGGAGAGTAAATTAGTTCAACCATTGTGTAAAGCCAATATGGCTCAAACAGCTAAAAACAGAACTATCATTCCACTCAAAAATCCCAGAGGAATATAAATTATTCTACCATAAAGACACATGCACACAAATGTTCACTGCAGAACTATTCACAATAGCAAAGACATGGAATCAATCTAAATGCCCATCAATGCCAGATTGGATAAAGAAAATGTGATACATATACACCATAGAATACTATGTAGCCATAAAAAAGAATGGGATCATGTTTTTGCAGGAACATGGATGGAGCTGAGGCCATTATCCTTAGCAAACTAACGCAAGAACAGAAAACAAAATACTGCATGTTCTCACTTGCAAGTGGGAGCTAAATAATGAGAACACATGAATACAAAGAAGGGAACAGCAGACACTGGGGTCTACGTGAGGGTGGAGGGTGCAGGGAGGGAGAAGAATGGAAAAAATAACTATTGGGTACTAAGCTTTATACCTGGATGATGAAATATTTTGTATAACAAACTCCTATGACAAGTTTACCTATATAACAAACCTGAATATGTACCTCTGAACCTAAAAGTTAAAAAAAAGACAGCCTAAAAGATTGAATTATAATGTGAACTTTTAAATTTGCCTTGGTCAAATTGTGTAGATGGAAATTCTATCATATGCCATTTGGCTTTGTCAATTTACTTGGTGATGGTTATATCTACCAGTAGGCCTAAACTTTTATCAAAAAAACCAGTTTCATTCTTGCAGAAGTGTGTATCAGTTGCTGTCCCTGCAGCTGGCTTGATGGGACTGGAAAAGGAAAAGTGAAGAAGGCATCAGAACATGTAGTATCACAGTGCAGGGTGCTCTGCCTGTGCTCAGGGAGGGAAATTGGAGCTTTGCCTCAGGCTGGTTTCCGAAAAACCGCTAGAAAGCCTTGGATCCGGCAGGTCAGAATTATCAAGCACAGAGGCCAATCTGTTTGCTAATGGGTTTTATGTTCTAGGTATCTCTTTTGTTGGCAAAAATTCAACATTTTTCTTTTTTGGATAATTAGGGTGGAACTGAAACCTTCAGAACCAGGAAACAACTTTGAAATACTACATTACCAGGAAATAAAAAACAAGTGATAAAGAGATTTTAAGAGAAGTCTTGGAATGAGAATAGTGTAAATTTCACAGTCTCAACAACAGGAAGACTTAAGATGAAATGTGACACAGTGGAAACTATCGCTTATTAAGTGATTAACTAATGCTAAGCACTCAATACTTGTTATGTAACTAGTTCTGCACAATGAATAAGTGACATTTGATACCCCCATCTTACAAATGAGGAAGTGGAGTCTGAGAGAGTTCAATGACTTGCTGAAGGTTGCACATATAGTGACAGAGCTGGATCTAGAACACAATTAATATTTTCAATACCATTTTAACAGGAAGGAAAGCTTTATACTAAATCTGATATCTTACAGTAAGAAGATCAATGAGGGCTATTTTTTTTCTTTCAATTTTTCAAAGCGTCCGGAGACCCAACATGCTGAGCTTTCTCTCAGGATAAGTCATTGCCAAGATGAGTGTAACTAACTTATTTTTTATTTTTTCTCTGTCATCTTAATACAATTTTAATAAAGAAATGATATTCTACCAAAAAAAAAAAAAAACAGTGGGGCCAGTGGGTCACAGCTGTATTCCCAACACTGTGGGAGGCTGAGGTGGGAAGATCTATTGAGCACAGGAGTTTGAGACCAGCCTGGGAAACATAGCCCCTTCTCTACAAAATATTTAAACAATAGCTGGTTCTGGTGGTGTGTGCCTGTAATCCCAGCTATTTGGGAGACTAAGGCAGGAGGATAGCTTAAGCCCAGGAGTTGGAGGCTGCAGTGAGCTATGATCAGGCTACTTCACCCAGCATGAGTGAAAGAATGAGACTCCATCTACAAAATTTTTTAATGTCAAAACCATTTTTAAATGTCAAATCAAAAGAGACATGGTACAAAGTGCTTCATGACATAAATGGTTTTGAACCTTATATTGATATTAGATTGCACAGCTACAGGACATTTTTGACATTACTGGTTTAACCTTCCATTTTTTAATTCTGCTATTGGGACCAGAGGATGCTCTGACTCCATGTTAGGCTGTATTTGTAGCATTATTCCAATATAAATGATTTTTTTAAGAAAAACATTTTTGGCGTAAGCCACATTCAGTCAATTTAACACCTTGGTCAATAGCCTATCCAGCACTACAAAATAGGTACTTTTTTCCAATTTAAAATTTTGTTAAAATTATTTTTACCAAGATCAAGCTTTTTATATGTAAATATCACAGAAGATTTTATTAACATTTATCCATATCAAACACTAACATTCAGTTGTCTTTTAACTCCAATATTTCTAACAAGTACAATTTTTCATTGTCAAAATTTTGCAGATCTAAATATCTATACCATGTACTCATGGTCAACATTACTTCCTGATTAACTATGTCTGTCAGTAATAGTCATTATTTATTAGAGATCTCTCTGAGAGTTTACTCTTAGGTACTAGCTGATTCGTGAGAAAATCGCAAGCAATTACCCTCAGATATCCCAGGATATCTCCATTGTCAAGAGTTAATCCATTGTATCACTTATTCAGCTCTTCTGTATACTTCTTATTCCATTATGCTTGTTCATTTGGTGATTTGCAAAGCAAAAATAAATTATGGGGCCCACATGGAAAGATCACTATATCCTCTTTGAGAATATATAACACACTATTATAAGCAATATAATATAATTATATCAGTATTATAATTAACAATATATTATTAAATTATAATAATAAATTGTCTTAATGAAAGAGAGGGAAAAGATATTTAATTACCTGGCAAATTTTTCTTAAGGCTATGAGCTCAAATACAAATATATTTGGTTCCAACAGCCAACTGACAACCTTAAGTAGCAACTAGATATCTAAAATTACAGGCCCATGTAACCACATTCATTTTTCTGGCAGAAAACGTAATGAGGATCAATTGCATTTAACTGGCTAGCTTTTCAAAGGACATGCAAATCCATTCTCCGTAACTGAGTAATTAGGAAACAATATTTCTTAGAATCTTCCTATCCATCACTAATACTATCCACTGGTTTCATAGTGGAACTTCTCCCTACCTCCCTCCCCAAAGACTAGGGGGGCAGAGCATAACTATTCAGAGTATAAGCTTTAGAACCAGGTTGACTCATTGTTCCAAAGAAGTAAAGAAATCCCACTAATTACAATAGATGAAGGCTGAGGCTGGAATGCAGAGACTGATGCAGAGCCATTGTTTCTATTGCCTTCAGTGGTAAAGTATAAAGGAATATTAGGCAAGACTGAAAAGGCTGGGCTTCTAGTTCTCCTTTGCTGCTATGTTATCATCACTATTGGGTTGCTCACTTCTCCCCACTCATCTAATTCACTGAATGATGGTGGTGACTGAGTGTGTTGAAATAACATGTTCTAATATGCTCTCTGCTTCTCATTCCAGCTGCAGAGTTTGGAATGAAGAATTCACTCCTTCATTCACTTACTTGCTAAACATTTACTTGATGTCTACTGAATTCCCAGGCACTGTTCTAGGTGCTGGGGAAAAAAGCAGTGAACAAAATTGACAAAATCCTCTACCTTGTTACATGCTAGTAGGTTGGTCAGTGCTCTGAGCTTGGTTAACATGCCCAAACTGTTGTGGTTTCAAACTTTTTTGTCTCTCAGGTAACTTTTCAGTGCTTTCTGGTTGATACTTGTTGTGCTAAGTACTTTCTAATGCATTATCTAATTTAAATCTGAAGCAACTCTTACATGGGTATTATTAGTGTATCAATTTACCCAAAAAAGGAAAGGAATGCTTAAAACAAAGTGATAATCTCAGGACCTGGGAAGTGATAGCATTGGAATTTGAACTCAGGAATATCTTATGCCAATGACTTTGATATTAACTAAAATATAATTATTACAAGACATTTATGAAAATTTTGTATATATTCCCTTTCAGCACATATAATTTCTATATTTTCCAGAAAAACTGCTGATGCTAACAGACAATTTAGTTTCTCTGTAGGGAATCTGTCATTTCTTTCTAGTAGTTTTAAAGAGTGCTCAGTGTTCCTTAATGATCTGAAGTTTTACCACAAAGATAATATCTAACTGGGGACTTAGTCTTGCCTCTTTGGGACTTGAAGGTTCACTTTCAATCTTATGATTCCTGACTTTATTTCTGGAAAATTCTTTGCTATTATCTCTTCAAATGTTACGTTCACTTTCTATTTTTAAATGAAATTACACTTTCTTCTCTAACATATACGTATATTAAAGCCTCCAAACTGTCCTCTCTATTTCCTAACTATCCTCTTTTCTTTTTTTTTACAATCAATCTAAACAACATTCCAGAAGAATTCTCCAGAAATTTCACTAGACTTGCTTGAGCAAAAGACATATCTTAAAATTTGAACCTAAAAATAGGCACATAGAACAACACAACAGAATAGAGAACCCAGAAATAAACCCAAATACTTATAGCCAACTGATCTTTGACAAAGCAAACAAAAACTTAAAGTGGAAAAAGGACATCCTACTCAACAAATGGTGCTGGGATAATTGACAAGCCACAAGTAGAAGAATGAAGCTGGATCTTCATCTCTCACCTTATACAAAAGTCAACTCAAGATGGATCAAAGACTTAAATCTAAGACCTGAAATCATAAAAATTCTAGAAGATAACATGAGAAAAATCCTTCTAGACATTGGCTTAGGCAAAGACTTCATTACCAAAAATCCAAAAGCAAATGCAACAAAAACAGCGTTAAATAGGAACTTAATTAAACTAAAAAGTTTCTGCACAGCAAAAGAAACAATCAGCAAAATAAAGAGACAACCCACAGAGTGGGAGAAAATCTTCACAACCTATGCATTCGACAACAGACAAATATTCAGATTTACAAGGAACTCAAACAAATTAGCAAGAAAAAAAACTTCATAAAAAAAATGGGCTAAGGACATGAATAGACAATTCTCAAAAGAAGATATACAATGGCCAACAAACATATGAAAAAATGCTCAATATCACTAATGATCAGAGAAATGCAAATCAAAACCACAATGAGATACCACCTTACTCCTGCAAGAATGGCCATAGTCAGAACATAATAGTTGCTGGCAAGGATTCGGTGAAAAGGGAACACTTTTACACTGCTGATGAGAAGGTAAACTAGTACAACCACTATAGAAAACAGGGTGGAGATTCCTTGAAGAATTGAAAGTAGAACTACCATTTGATCCAGCAATCCTACAACTGGGTATCTACCTAGAGGAAAATAAGTCATTACACAAAAAGGATAAAAAAAGGTACTTGCACACCCATGTTTATAGCAGTGCAATTCACAATTGCAAAAATATGGAAACATCCAAAATGCCCATAAACCAATGAGTAGATAAATAAATTGTAGTGTATATATATGTGTGTATATATGTGTGTGTATATATATATATGTATACACACACACACACACACACACACACCATGGAATACTATTCAGCCATAAAAAGAAACAAAATAATGGCATTCACAGCAACCTGAATGGAATTGGAGACCATTATTCTAAGTGAAGTAACTCAGGATTGGCAAACCAAACACTGTATGTTCTCACTCGTAAGTGGAAGCTAAGCTATGAGGATGCAAAGGCATAAGACTGATACAGTGGACTTTGGGGACTTGGGGGAAAGGATAGGTGGAGGGTGAGGGATAAAAGACTACAAATTGGGTACAGTGTATACTGTCCAGGTGATGAGCGCACCAAAATCTAACAAATCACCACTAAAGAACTTACTCATGTAACCAAACACCACCTGTTCCCCAAAAACCTATGGAAATAAAAAAAATAAAAATTTACCTAATAATTCACAGTTTTAAATACTTAGTATCATTAAATCATTAGGTGGTTTTGTCATTGTGCGAACATCATAGAGTGCACCTGTACAAATTTAGATGATAGAGCCTAATACACACCTAGGCTACATGGTATAACCTGCTGCTCCTGGGTTATAAATTTGTACAGCATGTTATTGTACCAAATACTGCAGGCAACTGTAATGCAATGATAAGAATTTATGTACCTAAACATATCTAATCATAGAAAGTGTACAGTAAAAATACAGTGTAAAGGATTTTTTAAAATGGTATAGCTGTACAGGGCACTTCCCATGAATGGAGCTTGCAAGACTGGAAGTTGCTCTGAGTGAGTCAGTGAGTGAGGGGAGAGTAAAGATGAAGGCCTAGGACACTACTCTATACTACCATAGACTTTATCAATACTGGACACTTAGACTATGCTACATTTATTACAAATATCTTTTCTTCAGTAACGAATTAAACTTAGCTTACTGTCAATTTTTAATTACAAACTTTTTAATTTTTTAACTTTTTTACTCCTTCTTAATGACACTTAGTTTGAAGCACAAATACATCGTACAGCTGTATACCACAAATATTTTTCTGCTTTATATTTTTACTCTGTAAGCTTTTGTTTTTAAATTTTAATTTTTACTTTTAAATTCTTGTTAAATTCTTGTTAAAAACTAAGACAAAACACACACATTAGCCTAGGGGCTACACAGGGTCAGGATCATCAACATCACTGTCTTTCTTTGACCTCCACATCTTATCCCACTGGAAGGTCTTTCAAGGGCAATAACATACTTGGAGCTGTCATCTCCTAGGATAACAATGCCTTTCTCTGTAATACCTCCTGAACGACATGCCTGAGGCTATTTTACAGTTAACTTTTTTATATATAAATAGAAAGAGTACACTCTAAAATAATGATAAAAAGTATATAGTATAGCAAATGCATAAATCAGCAACATACTTTTAGATAATGGCAGTGCAGGTTTGCTCATACCAGCATTCCCACAAGCACGTGAGTAATACGTTGCACTGACATTATGATGGCTGTGACGTCACTAGACAACAAAAATTTTTCATCTCCATTTATAATCTTATGGGCCACCATAGTATATGTGGTATATCATTGACTACAACATCCTTGTGTGGTGTGTGTCTGTATTAATAGAAATAATAATAAAAGAACCAATTAACCAGGAAAACATACACCAAAATAAGTACGTTCTTAAAAATAGGGTATCCTATGCCCAAAAGGCAAATACAATCAGAATTAAAGAAAAAATATTTTCACATCCACAATCTTAATACTATAGAAACTCAGAAAACATTGAAAAGGCCAATTCCAATTCATTTTATAAAACCAGTATAACTTTGTTAATAACACAACTACAAAAGATTAAAGAAAAGACACCACAGCTTGTGAACATAGACACAAAATCTTCACAAAGTATTTGTAAAGGTAAACTAGTAACATATAATTTAGATAAAACATCATTATCAATTGATGTATTTTAGAAATGCAAGAGGAATATGACATTAGGAAATCAATCAATAGAATACATCACATTAATACAATGAAGAATAGCATAACCACCTTCATAGATGCTTTGAAAGGCATAATATTTAACATCCTTCATGATAAAACTCTCAGCAAACTAGAAATAGAAAGAATTTCCTCTTGATAAAATACATTTAAAATAAATACAAATTTAAAATCTATTTAATGGTGAAAACCAAATACTCTTAAGATTCAGGAAAAGAGAAAACAATATTTATTCTCAGTGCTTCTATTCAAAATTTTACTGGAGCTCCCAGAGAGCTCAATAAAGCAAGAACAAGAAATAAAACACATACAGTTTAGAAAGTAAGTAAAACATTTTAATTTATTAATGACATGATTATACACTTATCCAAAAGGATACACAACCTACTTGAGCTAATAAGTAAATTTAGCAATATCACACATTATAATATCAATATTTACTAACAATGGGTATTCAGAAAAATCAACTTACAATACCATTTACAATAGCATCAAAAACAAATATCTTGGAATAAATATATGTGAGAAGTTTATTCTGAAAATTATAAAATATTGCTTAGTAAAATTAGTAAGACCTAGAAATTGATATCTAAATGTTCAATTTGAAAGACTCAATATTGTCAAGATGTCCATTCTCCTTAAATTGATATATAGCTTTGGTGCAATCCTTATCAAAATTTCTAAAGGCTACTTAAGAACTAGACAAGACTATTCTAAAATTAATTTGGAAATGCAAAGAATACTGAATGGCTAGTCTTTTTAAAGAAAGGTATAACTTTAGAGGACATATGCTATTTTATTTAAAGGCTCTCTATAAGGCTACAATAATCAAGACCACATGATATTCATATAAAATAGATGCACAGAAACATGGAGAGTACAGGTAACCAATAGAAATAGAATTCAGTGAACAGTGTTTTTTCTGTTGCTACAGCAAATGAACTAAATTGTCTTAATTCATTTTGTGTTGCTATAACAGAATACCTGAGAGTATATAGAAATGAATTATAAAAAAATGAAATTTATTTCTTACAGCTGTGGAAGCTAGAAAGCCCAGCCGCATGGTACTGGCATCTGGTGAGTGCCTTTTTGCAACCTCATAACATGACAAACGGCATCCCATAGTGAGAGGGCAAGAGTGTGCCTGTCAGCTCAGGTCTTTTTTCCTCTTCTTATAAAGCCATGAGTCATACTATGGGGGCCCCACCCTGACGACCTTATCTAATCCTACTTACCTCCCAAGGGCCCCACCGCCAATGAACATACGAATTTGAGGATTATGTTACCAATACAAGAAATGTGGGGGACATATTCAAACCATAGCAGATATTAAAAAATAAACCTAGATCCCTTTCTTACTCTAGAAACAAAAGTTAATTTGATATGGATCACAAACCTAAACATAAAACCCAAACCATAAAGCTGTAAAAAAATGAACAAGAATATATTTGCAATGTTTAGGTAGGCAAACATAGAAACCATAAAGGAAAAAAGATTAATTAGACTTGATTAACTTTTAAAAAAAAATGCTCAGTAAAAGACACCATTAAGAAAATGAGTAGACAAACTATAGAGCAGAAAAAATATATATTTATAGCTAATATCTAATGGAAGACTTGTGTACAGATTACATAAAACTCTACAAAATAATAAAAAGATAAATGTCCCAATAAAACGATAGGCACAAACTTGAGCACACAAATCATCAAAGATATAGGAATGGCCACTAGGCATGGAAAGATGCTCCATATCATTAACAAACAGAATGAAGCAAATGGAAACTGCAATGAGTTATAAATTCACACCCTCAAGGATGGTTAAAATAAATAAATAAATAAATAAATAAATAAATAAATAAACAGCCAGTGTTTGAGAAGATATAGGGAAACTGAAACCCATACACTGCTTGTGAGTATAAAATTGTAAAATCACTCTGAAGACGTGTTTGCCAGTTTCTTATAAGTGTTTCTCACTTAATAACTAAGAGGGTAAAGAATTTTAGTCAGAACCCCTTTACTCTCTTAAGTACTCTCTTAATTAAGAGAGTAAAGAGTTTTAGTCAGAACCCCTTTACTCTCTTAAGGAGCCCAAAGAGCTTTTGTTTATATGGTAATTATCTACCATATGTGCCATATTAGAAATTAAAACTGAGCAAAATTTTAAATATTCCCTTATGAGTTCATTTTAAAATAACAAAAGTAACATTTTAATGAGAAATTACAATATTTGATAAAACAAAGAATTGATGAGTGAAAACATTTTGCATTTTTACAAATCTCTTTAAAATCTGCTTTAATAGAAGACAGCTAGATTTTTGTATCTTTCTCTGTGTTCACTCTCCTGTTTTTGTGTGTTGAAGTATATGAAGAAGATGTGACCACATAGAGAAAGGTAGTTAGGAAAGAAAGGGCTATTTTAATAGCCATTTTTTAGACAATCGTGGCTATTTTTGTTTGATAGTAAACCAACACCCAATTAGCAGTAGATTCTTAAAAGTTGGCTGCAATATGGAATCAAATCATATCAATGAACTTTTATTTACTCAATTACATTAAAGTTCATTGGTCCTCCTTTTACTTTGAATTCATTTTTACCCCATATATGATTTTGTAACACCAGGCAGTGATCATTTAGAGAATACTGGTTCTCTGAGTTATATGGGTCTTCCAAATATTGGCTCATTTCATTATGCAATCTTTTGATATTGCATTTGTTAATATCACCAGCAATATCATCAGGAAAGAGCATGAGTACTAAAAAGCTGTTAATCTCTTGGTGGCCAATACATATGGCTTAAAATTCTAACTTTTGTTTGAAAGCTCAAATTGTGTCACTGACAACAAACATGATTTTCCTTAAAGTGACAAGCTTACTTTGTTCACATACAAGAACATATCTGACAAATATGTAAGACTGAATAACAGGTTGTCAATAAAAAGTTGTACTCCATGAAAAAAACCAGCTGGTTCAGCTTGTAACTCAAACAATCCTTCCCATTTTACCGCACATATTATTCAAAAGATGAATACTTAAGAGTTTAAATTTAATAAAATTAAAAACGTATGACTGATTCATCAAGGGCATTCTTTTGTTTGTTTGTCTGTTTGTTTGAGGCAGACTCTCGCTCTGTCTCTCAAGCTGGAGTGCAGTGGCGTGATCTCGGCTCACTGCAACCTCCACCTCCCGGGTTCAAGGGATTTTCCTGCCTCAGCCTCTGGAGTAGCTGGGATTACAGGCGTGCCCTATCACACCTGACTAATTTTTGTGTTTTTAGTAGACACGGGGTTTCACCATGTTGGCCAGGCTAGTCTCAAACTCCTGACCTCCAATGACCCACCTGCCACAGCCTCCCAAAGTGCTGGGATTACAGGCATGAGCCACCGCGCCCGACCCAAGGACATTCTTAATTGAAACTGGCATACAGAGGGTGTGTGGTAGCAAATAATACTGTAATACCATCACTATTGGTAAAGTCTCATTTTTATTTATTTATTTATTTAGAGACGGAGTCTCGCTCTGTCGCCCAGGCTGGAGTGCATTGTCGCCATCTCTGCTCACTGCAAGCTCCGCCTCCAGGGTTCACGCCATTCTCCTGCCTCAGCCTCCCAAGTAGCTGGGACTACAGGCACCCGCCACCATGCCCAGCTAATTTTTTGTATTTTTAGTAGAGACGGGGTTTCACCGTGTTAGCCAGGATGCTCTCGATCTCTTGACCTCGTGATCCGCCCGCCTCGGCCTCCCAAAGTGTTGAGATTACAGGCGTGAGCCACTGCGCCTGGCCTTTTATTTATTTATTTATTTATTTATTTTGAAGACAGGGTCCAGGCTGGAGTACAGTGGTATGGGCTCACTGCAAGCCTTGACCTTCTGAGCTCAAGCAATCCTCCCACCTCAGCCTCCTGAGTAGCTAGGACCATAGGAACATGCCACCATGCCTGGCTAATTTTTAAATTATTTGTGGAGATGGGGGTCTCGTTATGTTGCCCAGGTTGGTCTTCAACTCCTGAGCTCAAGTGATCACCCTGGCTCAGCCTTCCAAAGTGCTGGTATTATAGGTGTGAGCCACCACGCTCAGCCTCATTTTTTTATCCAACATTATTTTTATATCATTGCAATAAATGTCAACTCAGCAAAAACTAAAATACCATGTTAGAATTATCGCAAAGATAATTTTGACCTTGAGAACCTCCTGCAATATTGTTAAGATTCCCAGAGATCCACAGATTATATTCTGACAATCATGGTTTAAAGTCTAAGCAAATTTCTACCCTACAATCTAGCAATTTCACTTCTAAATGTTTACACAAATAAATTAAAATGTATGTCAATCAAAATACTTGTGAAGGAAGTTTGTAGCAATCTCATCAAAATTACTAAGAACGGGAAATGAACCAAATATCTATCAAGAGGAGAAAGGATAAATAAATCATCATATATCTACAGAATGTAATGATACTAGACAATAAAAAAATGATAGATGCGACAACTGGATGCTTTGGTCGAAAGCATGATGTTAAGTGAGAGGAGAACTACGTAAATGAGTAGATACTGTCTGGTTCTATATGTACAAAATTCAAATACCAGCAAAACTGATCTGTGATGATAGAAAGCATATCACGTTCAGGGAGAGGTGGGACAACTGGAAAGGGGCTGAAGGGAGATTTCCGCTGGGAAATAAATATTCTTAACTTGTTTTGAGTCTATAAATTCTCAAAACTCAATTCAAGTGCTTAAGACTTACACATTTTATTGCATGCTTATTAAACAAAATAACAGAGTTTTTATTCTGAAACAAGAAAAGAATATAGACTCTTGGAATTTTTAGATTATGTCTCCCTTTCTCTACTTGCAAAACCCAGAACTGGGAAAACAATAGGCTCTTAATAAATGCTTTTTGAATGAACAGATACATGCAAAACTAAAAGCATATTTAGATATAATGTGAGCAGAACCAGCCTTTTCTGTGTAGTGGGAGTATCTTTATCACCTCACAGATTTGTTTGTACAAAAAATACTTATCAACAAAGAAGTCTCAAAATTATTGAACTAAGTGTCCAGCTTACAAGTTTAGAAAAAAGATGTAAAACAAAGAAAATAGAAAGAGGTAAAAATATAATATAGCTATTATTAAAATAGAAAAAAATACTACATAAAGTTCAATAAAGTCAAAAGGTGGTTGTCTGAAAAACCAACAAAATAAACACACCTCTGGTGAGATCAAGAAAGGACAGAAGGTTCAAATAAGAACGATTATGAATGAAAACAAGATACAACAACATACACAAAAAATAGAACTTTCAAGGAAACAAAAAAAGAAAAGTATTACCAATAGCTATAAGCCAACAATTTTTAAAACCTGAATGAAATGTCCAGAAAACAAATTAATCACAACTGACTCAAGGAAACTCCTTCCCCCAAAATCCCAAAACACAAAACACAAGAACAGGTACAGTCGATTTCACAGATGAGTGCTACCAAAATTTAAAGAAAGAGATCCAACTTTTATGCACATTGTGCCAGTTAACAGAAAAGGAGGTATAGGTCAGGGCAAAGCAGACACCAAACCCAGATAAACATTATAAGAAAGAAAATTAGAGGCCCAGTCTAATAAGGAATATAAATTTTTAAATTCCTAAAAGAACTTTTCAAATTGAGCCCAACATTGTAATATATTATGTAACATACCATGATAAAATTGGGTTTATATCGATTATGCAAGAATGGTTTACTACAGATTAAGTATCACTTATCCAAAATGCTTGGAACCAGAGGTGTTTCAAGTGTTTGACTTTTTCAGATTTCAGAATATTTGCATATATATAATGATATATCTTGGGGATGGGACCCAAGTCTAAACGCAAAATTCATTTACGTTTCATATACACATTATACACACGACTGAAAGTAATTTTATACAGTATTTTTAATAATTTTATGCAAGAAACAAAGTTTGTATTAAGTACTTACACCTAGAATTTTCCACTTGTGGTATTATGTTGGTGTTCAAAAAGTTGCAGATTATGGAGCATTTCAGATTTCAAATTTTCAGACTGGGGATGCTCAATCTGTACTAGAAAATTTATAAATTTCTTTTACAAAAAAAAATGAGATTTATTTATTTATTTAAGAGGCAGGGTCTTGCTGTGTCGTCCAAGCTGGAGTGCAGTGACGTAATCATAGCTCACCACAACCTCAAACCTCTGGGCCCAAGAGATTCTCCCACATCAGCCTGCCAAGTAGCTTGGGCCACAGGCATATGCCACCATGCCCAAATAATTTTTTATTTTTGTAGAGATGGAGTCTCGCTATGTTGCCTAGGCTGGTCTCTAACTCCTGGGCCCAAGCCATTCTCCCACCTCAGCCTCTCAAATCACTGGGATAACAGGCATGAGACACCATGTCTGGCCAACAATATGAGATTTAAAGAGAAAAAATATCATATAATTATCTTCTCTAATACCAAAAAAATGACACAATGTAACACTCATATACAGGAAAAAATCCACACAATTTCTTACATAATTAGGAACAAAAGGTTTCTTAGCCTGATAAATGGCATGCTTTAAAAACGACTAGAGCATTGTTCAGTTCCCAGGGGAGCGGGGAGGGATAGCATTAGGAGATATACCTAATGTTAAATGACAAGTTAATGGGTGCAGCACACCAACATGGCACATGTATACATATGTAACTAAGTTGCATGTTGTGCAGTGTACCCTAAAACTTAAAGTATAATTTTTAAAAATGTCTAGAGCATACATCATTATAAATGGTAAAATCTTTGAAGCATTTCCTTTAAAATCAGGAATGAGGCATGAGTGCCTATTATCAGTGTATTAGTCAACAATTGTATCGGATTTCTAGGCATTAAAATAAGAACTAGAAATGAAAGAAATGAAAAGAAGAAAATGAAATTGACATCATTTGCGATGATATAATTGTTTATATAGAACTCTGCCTTACCAAATATATAGACAAATCATTAAAAGTGATAGAAGAGTTTAGTAAGATGGCTTTTACTGTTTTACTCACTGACTATAGTTTCATTAATCTTGGTATAATCAACTTAACATTCCAAGAAAATTTAGATTCCCTTGGAGTTAGGGAAAACATTGATTTTCTCCCTTAAGTAAACTGTCCAAGTATAAATAATAATTATTATATAATTGTGTTCAGAGTATGACCCTGAACCTGGACTTTCAGCTAGAGGACAGTTAAATTACCCCTATTTTCCCTTCTTTAACTGAATTAACTGACTTCATCTTTAGTTTCTGGCACCTGAGGAATCCGAGTAATAGAACACAAGCCAGATATATTTTTGATGTATTAATATACTCGTTGTTATGATTTATAGGTTCTTGAAATAAGTATTTTGGAAGATGGGAAGTTATACGGCGATAGGAAGCCTTCTATAGACAATTTAAAGGCAATTATGTCAATTACAAGGTAACCGAAATATGTCAGTACTACATTTTGTCACTTTTTTGTGAATAATTCTTAGTCTTGAATTCTTATCCCAACTCAAGTATACCCATGTTTGGAGACCTATTCTGATACAGAGTCCCTTCCTTGTAAATATAAAATTGAAACTGAAAAATGCTAATTAGCCTCTCCTAGTCATTTGAACAGATAGCACATTGATACAGAAGCTGAGCAGAGGTCTCACATGTTGGCTCGTGATATGCAAAGAGATGGAGACTCGTGGATCATATGCTCAGAGAAAAGTCAGGAGAAGATCCAGTTAGACCCAGTGAGGCACAGATCCCAGCTCACCTGGGCTTTGTTCCTTTCCTGTTCCCAACTGTGGTTCTTCATGAAGCCCTCTACTCTCTGACATTAGTTCCGTGAGACACACTAATCTCTCTGCCTTTAATAAACACCCCCACTCCCAACACACACATTTTTAAAAATTAAAGTAGTTGTATGGGTTTTTACTACTTGTAAGCATAGAGCCTTGATAAAGACATATGTGAAAAATTAGGTTTTAATGCACTACAAGGATATTCTAAGAGTAGGTATTAGTGATTTTGCCAGACACTTCTCAATGGTAGTACCTCATAAGGAAGCACTGTGTGTCAGTTTCTAACTGGGACCCTTGGACTTGCAAGGCCATCCAGCAATACACCTTGTGAGCACTCAAAGCCACAGGATAAATAGGCTGCATCTTCCTGGACTTTCAAATTTACTATATATTATGTAATCTAAAATAACTTTCTAAAATTAAACTAAGACTTCACATGAATATTTAAGATAAAATACTAGACTTCAAAGAAATTCCCTGCTTGCTGGTAAACTGCTTCAGGCTAAGTTTGCATCTAATGGGGCCACTATTGCTTTCCTCTGCCATGAGGGGTTCTTAAAAAGTTTGAACAACACTCACGCATTATAGTAACAAGTAAACAGTCCGAAAGGAATTCCATTTGCCAACATATATAATTTAGTCTCAGAATCTCTTGACAATTAAACCTATAATTATATTTCCTTTAAAAAAGGACGCAAAATACTTAGACATCCACAATAGCCTCTGGACAACATCCTGTATGATTCGTGTACTTCCATTCCACATATTCACATTACTGGATCCAAAATGTTAATATCGCCAGGCACAGTGGCTCACGCCTGTAATCTCAGCACGTTGGGAGGCCGAGGTGGGTGGATCACCTGAGGCTGGAAGTTCGAGACCACCCTGACCAACATGGAGAAACCCCATCTCTACTAAAAATACAAAATTAGCCAGGTGTGGTGGCACATACCTGTAATCCCAGGAGGGGATTAATACTCGGGAGGCTGAGGCAGAAGAATGGCTTGAACCCGGGAGGCGGAGGTGGATGTGAGCCAGAGATCATGCCATTGCACTCCAGTCTGGGAAACAAGAGCGAAACTCCGTCTCAAAAAAAAAAGAAAAAAAAATGCTAATATCAAAATGAGTACTACATTAGTGGATTTAAACATATTTCAGACTAGAGTTTTAAAGTAAGACAAAGTTATTAAGTTTATAGTTAAGCTTAGGAGCATTTTGAAACAAAGATGCTTTTTAGAGAAAAAGTTAAGTAAACTATGGTCCAAGGTTAATGAGGAGTACTATAGAGGAGTTAAGTAGAGTAAGGTAAATCTTAATGTTGTATCTCCAAGACAGTTTCGAGTTTTAAAACGTAGTATAGGCCGGGCACAGTGGCTCATGCCTGTAATCCCAGCACGTTGGGAGGGCGAGGTGGGAGGATCATGAGGTCAAGAAATCGAGACCATCCTGGCCAATATGGTGAAACCCAGTCTCTACTAAAAATACAAAAAATTAGCTGGGTGTGGTGGCGGGTGCCTGTAGTCCCAGCTACTGGGGAGGCTGAGGCAGGAGAATGGCTTGAACCGCAGAGGCAGAGGTTGCAGTGAGCCGAGATGGCACCACTGCACTTCAGCCTGGCAACACAGCGAGAATCCATCTCAAAAAAAAAAAGTAGTATAAATAATATAAAATCTAATTCAAACAAAAATACAAAACACTGAATAATTCTGTATATTTTCATAGGTACTTATTTATGAGTATAAAATCCACAGGAAAGGGTCTGGAAAGATCCAATCCAAACTGTTAACAGTAGTTGCTTTAGAGGGAAAAGGGGGTCTAGGCAAAAGATCAGAGGGTTTTTCAGTATCTTATTTGCATTCTTCTGCATGCAAGCAGGCTCTTCCTTTCTAAAAACAATTATTTTGCAACCAAAATGTTTCCAGATTATCTTTAGTCACTGATAAGAGAGAGAGAAAAAATTCTGTAATTCTGCTGCCTAAAACGTACAAGTAAAAACTGTACACAAAAAAGAAATGTGGTATTTGGTTGCTTTTTTAAAACATGAAGAGACAGATCCTTTAATAGTTTGCTTTTCTAATTTCCACTAAAATTTTATTAATGTAAAATGTGTTTATATTTTAATAACATTTTAACTTGTGTTTCCTAAGAATAATTTGGCACATCATAAAATTAAGTTAAATTCAATAAACTAAAGCAAAATAAATCATTAAACTCTTTCCAGAGCAATGCGTGTTTTCAAGCCCCTGCTTTTACGTGTCTATTAAAAGAGCAACAAGATACTTGGTTATCTCTTTATTACCATTACTTTCCCTACAGACTTACACAGCATTTTCAGATATGCTTTATTTTCCATCTTAGATTCATTTTTTATTGGCATTGACTCCAAACGAAGGACTTTTAATTTTCCCTGATCGCTAACTCCCAACTGACAGTTCTGTGTCAGTTAATAATCTGTAAACAAACACTAAAACACCCTAACAGAGTCTTCCTTAAAGGGATGTCATGATTTTGTTACAGAATCGGAAAGTTGGTGAATATTACAAACAAAAGGAACAGTGGTTCAACCTCTTCTCTTTCCCTTTTTTTTCTTTATCTTTTTATCCCCAAAGCAAACTGGACTAGAGCAGTGTGAGCCTCATCCAGGGTCTCACAGCTCATTAGTGGTAGGGCAGGAGCTGGACACCAATCCCCAGTCCAGGATTTTCTTTCTGTGTTCCTCTGCCTCTGAAATTATACTGGGTAAAGCAAATTATTTGGAGTTTTAAACACTGAATTCTGACATAATTAAATTGAAGCCTCATTAAATTTTTTCAGTGATCCTTGTGGGTTTCACACCTTTTCCATATTGATCATCAAAAGAATAACCATCACTCATCCTTTCTGCAAAAATCAGAGTTCAATTTAGAAAGGTACCTCGCTATCTTTGGGAAATATCAGTGGTAACAGAGGTAGTTTTCAATGTTTCTTTATAAATTATGTCTGACTTCATAGTAAATGACAAAAAAGAAGAAATCAAAATTGACAATGTTGATTTCCATGGACATAGAAGAATACCCAAGCAGGAAAGTGAATCAAAGTTTCAACGCTCATTATAGTTACAAAAATCTAGGAGAGCCCAGAGACAGCCACATCACACAAAACAGCTCTTTACCTTGGATTCTGTAACATGTAAAATCTATGGACACATATAGTTAAAATCCTGTATGGGCACATGGCCCAGGAATGTTTCTTACTGATTAGACAGTCAGATTTTTCAAAGACCTTTTCCATTATAATTTTCTCACTTACAAATAAAGTTTATGATTTTGGTTTTTCTTTGATTAAAAGATTAATAATATGCTGTTTAGAGAATTTAGAAAATGCAGATAAAATTGTATATACATTATATATACAGTTGATTATGTTCTTTGTATGTAGCAGGCAATGAGATAATACACACACTTTTTTTTTTTTTTACAATAACCTTATGAAGTAATTGTTTTATCCCAATTCCTTTGCAGTTGCATAACTGGGGCTTAAAGAGAAAGAGAAAACAATTTGCCTAAGGTCATGTGACGGTAGGCAGAGGCACAAAGACTTGAAGTAAAGTCTTCTAATACCAAGTCCAAAGATTTCTGCCTTCTATCATTTGTTTGTCTTGAAATCTGTGAGTGTCAGAACATAGAAAATCAAAGGTCCCAGGAATATGCTCAACACCAACTACAAGCAGGAATATTAGGGCACTGATCTGGCATCTGTTCCCATCAAAACTGTGAATTACTGTTGCTAATCCCACATATTTTTCTGTCCTCAACTTACTTGACTTTTTTCTCAGTAGTTTTTGCTGCTGTTACCTCTCTCCCCTAATTGAACACTCTCATCTCCCAGCTTCCATAATATCTCACTCTGCCGTTCATTCTCTTCCTATTTTTGTGGCCTGTCCTGCCTTCTCACCATGACAAGTTTGCCTTCTTCCACCCAGTCATGAATGCCAAAACTTCTCAAGGCTCAGTCCTCAAATCTCTTGTGTGACTCCATAATCTCACCATTCATGGCTTGGATTTCTACTTATCCACATATGTGCATCCAGAAGTTCTGTCCTTTACTCCAAATCTATATATTCAAAGGCATCTTTAAATCTTTAATTTAGTGTCTCAAAGTTACCTCAGAACTCAATACATCTCAAAGAGAATGAATGTCTCCCTTCTCCAAACCCAGTCTCCTTCCAGGTTTAAATAATTTGGTGAGCAACAACTGTATTCCATTTGGTCACACAAGCCAAGAAGCCTAGAATCACCTTTGACATCAGCTTGCCAACCCACCCTCACCCCAAATATCCTGTTCATACAAAGTCCTCTTAAGAATGGCTTCTTTCCTTCTCAATTGCTATCATCCGTGTTTAATCCATCTTTATCTCTTGCTCAGGAACTTGCATTGCCTCCTGACTATTTTCCCAACAGTGTCCGAATTCAGCTTCCACATAGTGGCCAGAGTTGTCTTGTCACGCTTCAGTGGATTGCTATCGTCTTCGAATAAAGTCCTAAATCTGTACATTATCCTACGAAGCCCAGCGCCCAGCATGAGGTAGCTTCTACTTGTCTTTTGAGGTTCCCCTTGCATTTTTCTCTTCCTCCTCTCTGTACTTAGACAGCCTTGGTTTTTGTTTGTGTTTTTTTTAGACGGAGCCTCACTCTGTCTCCAGGCTGGAGTGCAGTGGCATGATCTCAGCTCACTGCCACCTCTGCCTCCCGGGTTCAAGTGATTCTCCTGCTCAGCCTCCTGAGTAGCTGGAATTACAGGCACATGCTACCACGCCCGGGTAATTTTTGTATTTTTAATAGAGACGGGGTTTCACCATGTTGGCCAGGATGGTCTCGATCTCTTGACCTTGTAATCTGCCCATCTCGGCCTCCCAAAGTGCTGGGATTACAGGCATGAGCCACCCAGCCCAGCCAATGGCCTTGGTTTTAATCTCTAGAAGCCAAAACCTTAGCAGTTTCTGTTCCCTCTACCTGGAATATCCCATTCCTCTCCATTCCATTCCCATTCTCTCTCTCTCTGTCACACACACACATACATAAACATACTACACACTTTATTCTATGTAACTCTTACATTTTAGAACTGAGCTCAAGAGACATTTACTCATGGAAGCCTTTTCAACACTGTCACTCCATCCCTGCCTCTGGCAAATTTATTTACTATATACTCCCAGAGAACCATACTCTGTTCCTTCAGAACGTTTACTTCAGTTTATAATTACAGTTTCATTAGTGTGACTATTTGTTAAATATCCATTTTTTCCACGAAGCAGGGGCTGGGTCCCCAAAGGCTTATTGCAACACAAGGCATTGTAGGTACTCAATAAATATAGATGAATGAAAGAATTTCTGCCTTAAAGAACATCCAACATGAGAGCAAAAAGTACAGCACTAAAAATGAAAAGGTTAACTGTTTCCAAAGCTATGACTTTAAATAACTAACCTCCGTTGTGTATTTGTATTGAACTAATTAGGACCATATTCTACCAAGTTGTCTATCTTAGAAGACTAAACATCCTTTTGATTTCTTTCTTTCTCTATAACAGCTGATCCTGCTATATTTATCTCCCACATCTATCTTGGATCCTTTCAGATCTCTTATTTCTAGCATCACTAAATTTACCTGGTCGAAGCCACTACTGTCTCTTTCTCAGATGATGGCAATAACCTCTCACCTGGTTTCCCTACATTCTTCTTGTTCTACTAAAATAATTTCTATGTAGTAGACACCAAAAAAACTATTATAAATCATTGAATGAACATGGACTGTAATCTATTTTGCCAAAATTTGCTTTAAAATAAAATTTAAGTGTTTCCTTGAGCCAAGTCAGGAGCCCCTTTTACACTGAGTCTCATCATGAGTTTCAAAAAACGGGAAGCTTTCTCAAGAGGTCAAGAATAATTGCTAATGATTAAGCCCCCGCAGAATCCTTCCTATATCCAGAATAAAATCTACTTAACAATTCATGAATTTCAGAATTCATATGAAAAAGGGCTAATGTGATTCTCTAATTTCTTATTCTTTCCAGTTCTAATGCTAAGTGTGGCTAACAGGGCAACAGGGTAATAATCTTCATTATCACTTCCTATTTTCAAAATTGCTCAAGAAGCGCTGCAAATGAAAAGAGGCCCATTGGTGCCCCAGGACTTAAAGTCTAAGTGGTGCTTTTTTTGTTTATGCTAATTAAGTAAGTTGCAAACTGGTTACTTAGCAATATCCTTCATTGAGATGCTTAGTACTGGAGCTTAATTACATGTTTTAGGCCTAAAGTGGTCATTATTAAGAGGCGAGCTGGTGATATCTGTGGATTGTATGTTGTTGTCAGTGTTTCTAGGGTCTAGCACTACAAAACTCCTGGAACGCGGAAAGCCATTTATAGAAAAAGGTGCTGAATTACACAGTGGCATTTCACTACCTTGTGGCTTAAATTGAGCACAAAAAAAGACATTTTTTAACAAAAATTACTTTAAAGCATATTTAAATATAGTGATACTCTATATTCTGCACATGGTTTTAAAAAATTTCTCCGGCTTTAGCATATTCCTTATTTATATGAAACAGTTTCCACACTTGCCTTCAAATAGTGTGAATAAGAACTTCCTAAATCAATCTGTTCAGCATATGTGAAAGAACAACTCCATTAAAAATCGAATTTCTCATGGGCTTTAATGGAACCCATCAATATTGTGTCTTCAGAATAAAAAAAAAATCTATAACCTTATTCTTTTGTTCCTAACTGAAAACAAATTATTGATTTTTTTTCAATAGAATTTTACTGTTTTAAGCATCCTTTTCTCTCTTACACATCAGTCTCCTGCCACTATCTGTGTGGCAAAGATGAAAATGTGCTGATTTTATGGAACTACAGCTCACTGGAGAACTCTCCATGGAAGCAGAAAAAACAAATGTAAATAACATAAAATATTTAGATCACAGAAACATTAAGCGTGATTTTAGTGATGGGCATGAATTATGCTTAGTGGATGGACCATCTATGTAACAGCAAGGAGCTGATAATCCTCACTCTTACAGACAATAGAGACAAACCACAGTTCAGAATAAACAGCTAGAAATTTGTCATGTTGAAAAGGCAGCCACCATTTAAATGTATCATATGTAAATATATTGTAATCTGAGTCCTGTCACTGTGGTTGTATGTATAGTTTGCATTTTCCCTCAAGCTTAATTGCTCAATATCCATTTTCTTGCATTAATGAAGCCTCTAAATATTTAACTTAGAAAATAGGTATAGCCACCCTTTTCTTGAGAGCCAGTGGAAGGCCCATATTTTGTACAATTTGTAATGCACACATTTGCATTACACTAATATATTGCTGAGATCTCATTTAATTTGAAAAAATTTTCTCTTCCTCCTTCTATTTTTTTTAAGTTATTTGTTGTCTTCTAGAATTTCTCCATTCTGGACTTTGGTTGGTTGCATCCCCATGGTGTTATTTAATGGGCTCATTTATCCCCTGTATTTCCCGTAACATGATATTTAGACTAGAGGCTTTATCAGAATCAGTTTCAAGTTTCTGCCTTATTTTGAAAGTGGTTTGTGAATCTTATTGCTTTACATTAAGGAATATATAATACTTGGATGCCTCTATTTTTGTTAAGATTAATCATGGATTTTTTTATGTTATTAGTTCAATACAACCATTATAAAATTCCCCACAGGGTTTTCACCTCACAGTTTGATAAGTCATTTATTATTATTGCCTGGTTCTATTATCTCAACAGGGAATGTAAAATGGTGGTATTCAAATTCTATCGTTCATCATTCATTTATTAGCTGGCATTTTCCTATCAATAATAACTTTCCCTGAACAACTATCGAATATCCTGAGGTGCTGTTCACACAAGAAAGAATGTTTAACACTTCCTTTATTTATCACCATCAAAAACTTTAAGGTGGATGATAGGACAATTGTTAAGATTAATGAGAAGATATTTGAGGAAGCACCGTAAAATAAATGCCAGAGAGAAGACTATGAAAGGGTGTCCTTTTTTCTGTAATTTAAAAAAATGTCACTAACCAGCCTCCCAGCTTTCCCTATTCCTCACATTAGCAACTGGCTGTTGGCAAGTGGGAATACAATGGTGAAACACATGTGTGAGAGTATCTGCGTTGTGGTTACAGCTGAAAAATACACACAAGATGTTACTGTGTAGAGATGAACACTGAAAATGTTTACCAATGATATGATGTCTGGACTTTATTCTAAGTAATCTGTTAGTAGGGGAAAGGTTTCAATGAAACAAGATTGGCCACATGTTGCTAATTGTTGAATCTGGGTCATGGGTATCTATGACACCACTCTCTATGCTGATGACTGAAGTTCTGTTATAGTTTAAAATACAAAATTATGTTACAGGTTTGCAATTATGATGCAGTAATGTGTTTCATGTTAATATTTATAACCATCAATATCTAAGAATGGGGCTATTAAAATCTTCCCAAGTGATTCTGGCTTTTAAACTTTTTGTTCAACTTTTAATTTTATTAAAAAATGAGACAATCTCAAACTTAACAGAAATATTGCCAGAAGGGAACAAATAACTTTAAAAAACAAACAAACACTGAATCATTTAGGAGTAAAACCATTCAATACTAAAACACTGAACCCAATGTCCCATTACCACGCTATACTTTAATGTGTATTTCCTATAGAACATTCTGTTACATAAGGACATCCTGTTATACAGCAAAGATCAATTAAAGTCAGGAAATTTCATGTTCTTATGAATATGATGTTGCTACCATTTAATCCTTAGAGACTCCATTATTTTTGCCAATTGTCCCAAAATGTTTTTTACAGCAAAAGGACACTATTGCCCTGGGCCTTTAAGGCTCTTTCAACTGGACACGGTTCCTCAATTTTTTTTCTTGACTATCAGGGTCTTGACACTTTTGAAGACTGTATTTTCAGTTTTGGTGTGTCCGATGTTTTGTCTTGATTAGATTCAGGTTTGCATCTTTGACAGGGTTGCATCTTTTACAGTAATACCATAGAAGTGATGTTGTGCTCTTCTTACTGCATTTTACCAGGTAGCACACAATTTTGATTCATCACATTATGATCACTTTGCTGACTTAATTAGGGGAGTTTCTGCAGGGCTTCTTCACTGTCATGTGACTCTTTAAAACCAGTAAGTAGTTTAGGGAGAGGTACCGTGAAATAAGGTAAACATTCTGTTCCACATTGATCTGTAAATTTCATAATTTACTTATTTGTATCACTATGAACTCATTTTTCATTGTATTCACTGGGTTGTAATACATTTATTTTGCTGCTATTATTGTTTCAGTGCAAGTTTCTCTGAACTGGCCTCTGGATCCTTTTGCTTTCTCCCCATGACTATTTGAGCACTTGCTTGCTTTATTGCAAAACAAGATACTTCAGACTTATTTTATATTTTCCTTGTTCTAGACTTAGAATCAGACATTTCCTCAGGGACCCCTAGTTCTTTCAGCAAAGACAGGAATATAGAAATCAATATTTGAGTGTTACATGTGTTACATGCTATTGGATGTCACTGTTTCCGTGCTATCTCAGTAGACAGATAGGAAATCCTTGTATTTTATATATTCTACATATATATAAAACATAACAAATTTATAGTATTGCTTCCAATCTCAATGCAATGCCACTGGGTTAATTTTAGTTTTCTTCTTTTCCATATTTTTTACTCCTATCTCCAATAGTTAAAAAAAATCTGGTTCTTCTTACCCTTAATGTGTTTACTTCTTGGATAATTTCCCAAATGTAAACAATCTCCCATCACTGTCATAACCCTCTCCCCAGGCAAATGACCTCCTCAGTCTACTGAGATTCCAACATCCCACATCTAGCTACTGCTTTCCTGCGCTTCCACCAGGCACCCGCATGTGCCACTGTTCCATGTGGAAGCCCTCCTTCACCTGACCTGTGCTCTAATGCCCTGAGCATAGACCTCTTCTCAGCCTTCTTGGGCCCCAACTCCCCATTCCAAGCTACTTTATCACATAGATATGCTCATCACCTTGTGTGGGCTCCAATATCCCATGCCAGGCTGCCCCTTTGTGCAGACACAGTCCTCTCCGTGGTCAAGTTCTGGCATCTTCTCATGCACCACCCTCAGACGTGGCCAGTCACCCCTTCAACCTCCCATCATCAAAGGCAACCTGCATGACCACCTTACCAGGTATTCCTTACCCAGCCACGTCTCTGTAGCAACAACTTTGTTACCCTTGACATTCTGGCTGCCCCATGTGGACCCCTCTATCTGCCTCTCAGGTTCTGGGATTCTGTGCAGAATCACCGCCACCTGAGCCCTACAGAGACTTCTTTCTCATCATCTCAGGCTCCAACACCACACGCTGGGCAGCCTGCAACACCCTCCACAGCTTCCTCAATTCTGGCACCCTGCATGGGGCAGTCCGCCTACAAGGGTGCCCTCTTGATGTTGGTTAGCTTTTTCTTTTTTTAAAATTAAATGTTTTATTTTGATTAAAAAGTAGATTCACTCACACAGGTATAATAAGTAATACAGAGAGATCCCACATACCCTTTACTTAATTTCCCCACAAAGAAACATCTTACAAAACTGTAATGTAAAATCACAAACTAGGAGATTGACATTAATATAACTAACTAATTATTCAGATTTCCCAAGTCTTACATGTACTCACGTGCGTAGGTCTTTAGGTCTATGAAATTTTATCGTATGTAGAGATTCATGTCTACACCACCTGAGTCAATACACAGAACAGTCCCATGACTACCAGAATCTCCTATGGTGTCCTTTTTACAGCCACACTCATCTTCCTCCTAAACCACCACCACCTTTAATCCTGCCACTAATCTACTCTAGCTTCTATAATTGCATTACTTAAAGGATGTTATCCCTTTGAGACTGACTTGTTTTTTACTCAGCCAAATTCCCTGGATATCCACCTAAGATTTTGAACTTAGCAATAGTCCATTTATTTTTATTTCTGAATAATATGCCACAGTATAGATATACCACAGTTTAACCATTGCCCCACTGAAGGACATATGGATTGTGTTAGTTTTGGGCTATGATGAACAAAACTGTTATAAACATTCGTAAGTAGGATTTTTGTATGAACCCCCTACTTTATTTGTGACACCCTGCACTGGCCTGTACCCTCACAGAGAAACCTTTCTCAACCTGTTTGAGGGCCAGCTCTCATTCTGGGCCACTATGCTCCATTTAGCCCATCTCTCCCAACCCCAAGCATGGATAGCTCCCTTGCTCTGTCCTACCTACTAGATTTTAAGACAGAATAGTAAAAAGGGGAATACTAAGTGGCCGTAGTGAGTGTAAACATTGTGCAAGGGCTGCTTGGTGAGTGTATTTCCAGTACCTACTAGCATAGTGATTGGCATCAAGTAGTCGCTCCATGAATGCCTGTCAATGAGATAAAAAGAGTTGGAGAATTTCCTTCCTCAGCAAATTGGATATTTCCTAATCTAGCAATTGTTGAATGTTAAGTCCTCAGATGAGGAGTAAAAATAAATGATGCCATAAAAGAAAAAGAAATGGAAGAAAATGCTGGGAAAGTTCTTAAAGAAGGAAAAACTGGATGGAGCAGCCTGGAATCACATGTCCTATCCTAGCTGCTTTCTCCCTGTCTATACATCATGGTTTATGCATACATGTTCTTGGTAAGCCCACAATGAGTCATTCACTTGCCATGCCAAAGTCATCAGGAGAGAAATTTGTGATCTAACTTAACTTGTCCACAAAGCATTCTCTAATACTGGAATTAAATTTATTCACTAGAAATCAATTTTCTGAATGACTATTTTCCAAACTTTCAACTGGTTCTAACTAAAGATTATGCACATACATGCACACACACACACACACACACACACACACACACACACGTTTTGGTCTAATTTCCAAGGCCAGTTAGTTAGCTGTGAACTTATAAGGATTGTTCAGCTGAATATCAATTTCTCATCTTCCAAATTTCAGACTTTCAGCAGATCTCAATTTCTCAATCGTTTATGTGTAATTGGATAAGTTTTCCCTTAAACACAGTTTACTGTTTTCTATAGATCTTTCAGTGTATGCCCTGACTCTCACAGTGGAACAGCTTTGGTGAATTGTCTTAAATCAGTTTAAGGCAATTTTTCTAATAAGTTTGAAAGAATTGGTCATTTAATAAATTAATCTAGAGCCCAAAAAATCTCATCTGAGAGCAAATTATACATTCTTCAACTTCTCAAATACTGATGTCTAACAGTGCTTCTCAACATATTCATAGTGAAGAGCCAGTGTTTTCTTATCTGTCGGCTTTTGGTTTTGTTTGTTTTTAACTCAAATTGTTGCTGACTGATACTTTGTAAAATACAATAAATATGAATTACAAGAAAAGTGAAAATTAAAAAAACGAAACACAAAACAAAAACTCAAAAACATATGGCCCATTTTTTTTTATTAAATTAAGCAGACGAAGAAGCACTCTGCCAAATTGCTCTGGATGTTCCTAAGCATGTATTCTCAATTTCAGTTCTTATCTGAATTTCGGTTCTTATCTCATCACAGATGAGTAACAAACAGTACAGCTTGGTGCCAGTCTGGAGACCACATTTTGAGAAGCACTTGTCTGTACTGACCCATCTCACACTGAACTATATCTTGTTTTTAAATTATTATTATTATTCCCTAAGACTGCATGCATCTGCTTATCTCCCTAGGGACCTCATATGCCCTTTGAGGTCAGAGATGATCTTTTCTATTTTGTTAGCATTCCCCCAAGCATTCAGACTGATAGGGCTTAATAAATTATTATTGATCAACAGAAAACAGCTTATTCTATTCCTTTCACTCCCTCCTCTGCTTTTCTCCTCTACTTCTATTCTATATTTGAATATAATATATTTTAAATCCTTTTTGGAAAGAAGCAAAAACTGCAAATTGGTGGCCTGCAGACTGGATACAGACAATAAATGAGCTTTGTTTGTCCCACACATTACACTAAAATAATTCTACCATGTTAAAAAGAAACTCTCTGGCAACTCTGGGCTCACATTAGCACACATCAAAAGCACAGCACTGGGTAAGGCTTCCCCTTCTAGACAAGTGAGCCTGTCAAGTTCCCCACAGTCCCGACTTGGCCAATTCGCTTAAGTTACCTATTTGGGACTTTGACCCTTTTGAAATTACAATCACTGATCTAGGTGAATTTCAAAAGTCAAGGTCAACAAACTGCCAAACAAAACCATAAAAGCACAAATAAAGGAGTCTCAGCAAACTACTAGAGTAGTTTTTGTTTCCCTAACAGTTTATAGGTCCAAAACATTTTGTTACCTTGGGTGAGCCTCATAAAACCACACAAGAGAGACTGGGTAGATACAATTGTTCCCATTTACAGGCAAGAAAACTGAGGTTTAGAGAATAAATACTTTCTTCACACTCCCTGGTAAATAGGTGATAAACTCAGTAGCTCTATGTAGCAGTAGGCTGAATAGCCACAAACTAATTTCAGTGCCTTCATTCCCTAAGTGTTTTCTAACATATTAAGTATGATAGAAAACAATATTTTTTTCTGTAATGTAGAAAATCTATTTTCATATTTATCTTCTCAAACCTTAAAGTGGATGTGTGAGACAGATTATTTGGTTTCATACTAGTTGATAGATTTTTTTAAAAAGTATTTTTCCTCCACTACTTTGCACTATACTATTCCCCCTTGCACTGACCAAATCTAATTTTTTTTTTTTTTTTTTTTTTGAGATGAAATCTTCCTCTGTGGCCCAGGTTGGAGGGCAGTGGCGCAATCTCTGCTCACTGCAACCTCCGCCTCCCGGGTTCAAGCGATTCTCCTGCCTCAGCCTGCTGAGTAGCTGGGATTACAGGCACCTGCCACCACACCCAGCTAATTTTTGTATTTTTAGTAGAGATGGGGTTTCGCCATGTTGGTCAGTCTGGTCTTGAACTTGTGACCTCAAGTGATCCATCCACCTCGGCCTCCCAAAGTGCTGGGATTACAGGCATGAGCCACCATGCCCAGCCTCCAAATCTGATTCTTTACTCCCAAATTACTGATGCGCCACGGGACCCAGACCCAAAGTGAAAATGGTTCCAAAATGAATGAGGCCCCCAAAGAAAGCCCCACTTTTCCACAGTGCTGAGCCACCATTCAGAATGTCTTTGGTCCAAAAACAGAAATGACAGCTTCTTGGACAGGCCAAACCCCAATATCTTACTCAGATACTCCAGGAGAGCACTGTTTGAGGAATTCTTCCATAAGTTTAATATCATAATTAAAAAGGCATCCTCAAATATCCTTAATAATACTCTAAAATAGGCTACAGAACACTAATGCCTGGGGATCATAACACATGCACAGTCAAACCACAGTTGAGCACCAGCCTTCATTAGGGATATTGGCACTCTGTGGTCCTGGGGATCAGTGAAAGCCACCACAGAAGCCTGGCTCTGTACATTTTACCATAGAAATGTGCTTTCCAATACAGTCATTATCAGCCACATGTGGCTATTCAAATTTAAACAGATTAAAATTCAATTAAAAATTCAGTTTCTACCCACATTTCGAGCACTCAGTAGCCACAGGGGACTATATCACATAAAGTCTATTCTTGGCCTTATCCACAGGGAGAGGGCTTGAACCAAGAGGTTCAGCCTTTTGCACTTCCAATGGTGATGAAAGGTAATTCCATGAGGCAAAAGCAGTTGCCCAGAGGCTGGGGTCAGCTGTGAGCTATGAACAGCCGACACCACTGGAGGGTGGATGCCCACTCCAGGGAAAGGGATCCCCGCTCTATACCACCTACTCTAAAGGACTGCAGGTTCTATTACTTTATTGAATAAAAACAAAAGTATAAAATCAAACATACAAAATTAGATACGTAAAACTATTTATCTTAGGTCAGGTGCAGTGGTTCACACTTATAATCTCAGCACTTTGGAAGGCTAAGGCGGAAGGATCGCTTGAGCCCAGGAATTTGAGAAGAGCCTGGGAAACAGAAAGACCTAGTATCTACAAAAAAGAAGAAATTAGCCTGGTGTGGTGGTGCATACTTGTGGTTCTAGTTACTCAGGAGGGAGGTGGGAAGATCACTTGAGCTCGGGGGTTCAAAGTTCCAGTGAGCCATAATCACACCACTGCAATACAGCCTGGGCAACAGAGTGAGACTCTGTCTCAAAAAAAAAAAAAATCATCTTATCCATTATTAATTTTTCCTTCTAGCCTTGGGAACTGTATTGTTTCTTATTTTCCCTATTCAGTTATCATTTGTTTTGAGGCAAGGTCTGTGACTCTTGTATCCTGTATCTCCAGTATCTGGCACATAGTTGGGGCTCAATAATATTTACCGAATGAATGTTAACCTTAACAATGATCTTTAAAAGTCTTATAGTTAGGGTGAACACAGATCCTGCTTTACCAGCTCCATTCAATTTATGTCAGTTGCTCTAATGGATCTATTAATAGGATCCTCTGTCCCTTCTGAAAGTGTCCCGCTTTGTTTTTTGTTTTTTTCATTTTGAGACAGTCTCACTCTGTTGCCCAGGCTGGTGTTCAGTGGCGTGATCTCAGCTTACTGCAACCTCTGCCTTCTGGTTTCAACCGATTCATCCACCTCAGCCTGCCACGTAGGTGGGACTACAGGCCCATGTCACCATGGCCAGCTAATTTTTTCATTTTTAGTAGAGAGGGGGTTTCACCGTGTTGGCCAGGCTGGTCTAGAACTCCCAACCTCAGGTGATTTGCCTGCCTCGGCCTCCCAAAGTGCTGAGATTACAGGCATGAGGCACCACACCCGGCCATGTCCCACTTTGTTTTATAAAATTTATGGCCACTTTAGTTTACAGGACATATAAATAAGGTGCAAGGAGAAAAATGAGAACAGAACCTATGATTTTGGTTGACTTTTCCAGTCACATTTGATCTGACAATTCAAGTGCTACTTTTAGATATAAAATAGCCAAAGTTAATTTAAATTTTTTGTTGTTGTTGTTTAAAATTCTGGCTCAGGCCAGGCATAGTGGCTCATGTCTGTAATCTCAGCACTTTGGGAGGCCAAGGCACATGAATCAACTGAGGTCAGGGGTTCAAGACCAGCCTGGCCAACATGGTGAAACTCCATCTCTATTAAAAGTACAAAAAGTTAGTCCGGCATGGTGGTGCCTGCCTGTAATCCCAGGTACTAGGGAGGCTGAGGCAGGAGAATCACTTGAACCTGGGAGGTGATTATTGCAGTGAGCCGAGCTTCTGCCGCTGTGCTCCATCCTAGGCAACAGAGCAAGACTATCTTAAAAAAAAAAAAAAAATCTGGCTCAGCAATCCATTACCCTACTGGTTACAACCTTGTTCCTTTGGTGTTGGGAGCAGGAGCATTAAGAACAAATGTATACAAATTAGGCCAGGCACAGTGGCTCACACCTGTAATCCCAGCACTTTGGGAGGCCAAGAAGGGTGGATCACGAGGTCAGGAGATCGAGACCATCCTGGCTAACACGGTGAAACCCCATCTCTACTAAAAATACAAAAATTAGCTGGGCGTGGTGGCAGGTGCCTGTAGTCCCAGCTACTCGGGAGGCTGAGGCAGGAGAATGGCATGAACCCGGGAGGCAGAGCTTGCAGTGAGCAGAGATGGCACCACTGCACTCCAGCCTGGGTGACAGAGCGAGACTCCGTCTCAAAAAAAAAAAAAAAAGTATACGAATTAGCATTATCCACCTGTAATTCAGTTGTATGTTTCAGTTGTATGTGTAAAATTATCAGTAGATAATCTTAACTTTAGGTGGTAGAATAGTGAATTGTCATAAAGTAAGAACTCACTACAGCTAAAATTACTGTCCTTACACTAAATGCAAAGGGACAATACTGCAACTAAATGAGGTTTGTCTTGAGTGAATAAGAGAGCATACACTGTAATCTTGTCCTATTCTCAAATATAGAACATCTGAGAAAAAAAAATGATTTAACCGTAACATGTTTTGATCAATTTGTGATGTGTTAATGTCTGATAGAATGGGGGACTAATACTAAAGATAATATAAATAAGACTTTTCTCTTTCAATTATTTTTCAAAAATGATCTATTCTAAAAATAAGATTGGATAGATTACAGCATCAACAAGTATGCATATCTTTTCTTTTCATAAGACAAAAATCCACCACATTTTTCCATCCCATGAACTACAATATATTCATTACCTTCAAGAATCATTTGGCGAGAAGGTAAAGTAGAATAGACTCATTTCACAAAAGTCCTTCTTCTTCTTTGGATTTCCCAATTTCCATTATAAGAGGAAGTGAGAAGAGAGACTGAGCTCTCAGATTTGCAGAGAACTTAGGGAAATAAAATACCTTGCACAAAATAAAATGGTATCTAATTATAACCTTGTTAATTGACACACATCCAGCTTTCCAATAAACTTTTATATAATACAGTCATATTAATGAAAATTCTAAGACTAAAGTATGTAATTACAGTAGTTTCGATTAGAAGACAGACCAAAAAGCATCTGTAGGGAAGAGAAGAAAAAAAGAGCTTCTGCCATCATTAAGAAATGAACTTAATTCATAATCAATAGAGAACAACTCTATCTCTGACACTGCTATAGGCTACATCTGTCCTCAGCAAAGACATGGTTACACTTGGCTGTTGGAAGCATATCCAAGTCTGATATTTCTCTGGTGCCATTTCCTTCCTGTGCTATTGGCAAGTAGCTTGCTGAGGTGACACGTCAAACCAAAAACCAAAACACATTTTTTAAAAAAGGAAAACTGTGTTCCTTGCTTGCTCATTTCCTTTATCCTTGCTCTGATATAAATTATCCCAAAGTCACATGATTCAACAGAATTGATTTTCTGCCTCAGAACAAAACTGAATACCAAATGAAATGATGAGTCCCAAGCCACATGCACAGTCCTCCAAATCTCATTTGCAATAGTTGGCCTACATTATTCTTTCAAACTTCATCCTTCAGTCTCTGCCATTGATGGTTCCTTCTCCTCATTAAAATAGTTTTCTCTTCTCTTAACCAGAAAAGGTTAAGGAAGGGGGAAAGCATACATTATCAGGCTCTAGACTTTGATTTATAGGCAATTATCATGAATATTATAAGAAAATCTTTCAGAACCATAATCTGTGTTATCAGAAATGAGTTATACACTGATAGAATATACCCTTCTTCCCTTGTATCAGTTAGGGCTCCTTTGGTTGCAAGTAATAGAAAGCCCAGGTATAGGCCTCACATCAGGTATGGCTTGATTTATGGAATCATATGATTACAACCCTACCTAGTTCCTTTATCTCTTGTCTTTGCTCTCCTTCCTATTGGCATTATACTCAGATCCCATGCAGTAGTATTATGGCTTCCAGAAACACCATAATAACATTTGCCTAGGGTCTAAACCCAGCAGAAAATTATAAGTTCTTTTAAGTTTTCCAGCAAGTGTCTAGAGATTGTCTCTGACTGATCATATTTCCATGTATGGGTCACTCCCTGAAGTAAGTAGAATCGAGTGCTGTGATTTTGATTCTCAGACCCTAGTGCCATGCTCCCATTAGCCCCATGGACCAAAGTGGTAAAGAATGTTCTTCCAAAACAAAATCATGTTTTCACTTAGAGAAATATTGTTGTTATTGTTTTTTTTAAACTGTGTGGCACATGCTTAGGTTCTAATGAACCTCCATAGAGCCATTAGAGAAGGAGTCAAGCCTCTCATCTGTGCTCCCACTATAATATCAAATATTTATTTAAGTTCTGGGTTAAAATTTATATTTTTAAATATGTATAAAGTTGCTGGGTTAAGAGACTGAAAAGACAAACCACAGGCTAGGAGAAAATATTTACAAAACATATATTTGATAAAGGTCTGGTATCCAACATATACAAAGAACCCTTAAAACTCAATAATAAAAAGATAGACAACCCAACTAAAAATAGGCTAAAAATGTAAATAAACATCTCACCAAAGAAGACATACAGATAGCAAATAATCATTTAAAAACATGCTTCACATCTTATGTCATTAGGGAATTGATACTGAAACAACAACGAACACCTATTAGAATAGCTAAAGTCCATAACATTGACAACACCAAATGCTGACAAGGATGTAGAGCAATGGGAATTCTCATTCACTGCTGATGAGAATGTAAAATAGTAAGTCACTTTGGAAGACAATTTAACAATTTTTTACAAAAAGTTTTTGAGAAAAAACAACACATTTCTTTTTTAAAAAAACAAAACAAAAACAAACAAACAAAAAACAGATGTGGTCTCACTCTGTTCCCCATGCTAGAGTGCAGTGGGGCCATCATAGTTCACTGCAGCCTCAACCTCCTGGGCTCAAGTGATCCTCATACCCCAGCTTCCCAATGAACTGGGACTATAGGCAGGCACCACCCTGCCTGGCTCTAGCTGCTTTTTTAAAAACGTGAGCATTTACTTTTAAGCTCCTTTTGAAGCAGGACAACTGCCTTCTCATTTGACTGAATCAAACCATGGTCACGTGTTCCCTTTTAGTTGCACACAAAAATGTGACACTGTAAGATCATTGTTTCCAACTCCCATCCCCCTCAGATTCTCATCTGTCAATACACTAACTAGTTTAAATTGCATGAATGCTCAAAGGTACCTTTAAACACCCTCTCCACTTTGTATTTCCTTCATCAGTACTAAATACCCGAGCTTTTAGTGCTTGCCTCTAGAATACCACCTTGTTCATCAAACAGATTTAGTCAAAGTAAGTGGCAATCCATATGAAGAATAACCAACAGGCAAGCTACAGTTAGAGAATTCCCGTTATGATGTTTAATTATTGAAAGTTATAGCAGCTTTCGAATATAACATCTATCACTCTGTTTTATTATACTTTACTGCAAAGGCATTACACAAATAATTGCCTTTCTCTGGATAAAGTTGGAGCAAATCTTAGTATTTTACAAAGGCAGTGGATATAGCCTACATTCATTTTTCTTAGGTAGGATTTTTCTACATAGCTACAAATTTTATCATGGCTCTATTAAGACAGGTGAAATGAATTGAAATGAATTACAATTTAGCAAGCTTTCCCTGGTGTCCTATTGTCAAGAATATATACATATTATCCTTTAAAAAGGGAAAACTATGCATCAAGAACTCCTCTCAGCCAGTCTGCCACTAGCTTTTCATCTCTAGCTACCATACACTAGAGATGAGTTAAAAGGCACTTGTTTTGTGTACATAAAAAGGAAATTCCTATATCTTTGTCTCCAGTCTTTTCTGATGGGATAAATGGTCCTTTTAATGAAAGTTAAAACACTGGGGAAGTAGGGGAATGTACAGCAGGAACTCTAGACTATATTACTCAATAAATACACATGGAGTAAATTGTGAATAAAGGCAAGGCAGAATCCCACAACTGCCTAACATAAATGTGATGTGTTTATTACAGGAGATACTAATAGACACACTAATATACTCAGAGGGAGCTACAGTTCCTGTAAGATTTCACGGTCTGTCAAATCCTTCCAGGTCTAGAATAAGTAGAATCCTAATGATGCATGGTGTATACATCAGTCACAATGCAGCCCATATAAGTAAAAGAAACACAGGTTATTACCATTAGTTTCTCAGGGAAGCAGAGTTATGAGAGTTAAGTCACCAGATAGAGTGTGAAAGGCTCACAAATATAAGACGGGTTTTCGACTGTCTACTTGTGGCCCCAAGGGAGGCAGAACAAGGATCCATGGGTGAGCACACAGATGGGTTTTTTGCCTCAACATTAGGCAGCTGTCCAATAGTTAGAACTACCTGAGGGTGAAATAGTCTAGTTTTAGAAGCAGATATTGGAGGTGCCCAAGCAAAAATAATCAAGTAGGGATTCTTAAGGATTTCACTCCTCAGAGTTCTAACCCATGTCACTATGGATTTTTAAAAAATCATAAACACTTAAGCTAATTGCAGCAAAGTATGAGGATATTAAATGGAGGCCTATGGAGGTTTTAAAGAAAATGTCTGGGTATATCCAACTATGTTAAAGGTAAGCTGGTGTTGGCTCTCCTCTTTGTTTTCATTTTCCTTGATAGAATCACTTGAATTACTCAGCCTACTGTTATTAGTCAGGGTTGGAGGAACTATTTTTTCAGTCCTTCCATCTAATGTTCTAATGGCTACTGATACTGCCTCTGAGGATCAATCCTAAAGCTAGTCCTCAAGCTGTCTTAGTTGACTCATGTCAAGGAAAGGCAGGAATACATCAGACACAACCAAGGGCAGGAAGTCCAGGTAGGGAGATCCATGTGAAGTATAACTGAGAAGAAAAGAATCATGTTCTAAAGCAAGCTTCCCTTTCTCCTGAGTGGCAGATCTATGTTATACATGAGTCCTACTCCCACCAAAGAAAACGAAGTCTACAGCTTGGATAACCACGGTACCAATATCCCTACAAGCTCTCTATATATCTAAAGTTTGAATACCCTGTCCTATAGCTCTACTTTCTAATTCTTAGTCCAAACTATAAAGATAACCTGAGTGGCTCATCCTGCATCAGTAAGTCCTCTTATCGAATACACTTTTCCAGGATTATCTTCTGTTCACCTTTTTATTTATTTAATTATTTATTGATTGATTTATTTGAGACAGAGTCTTTCTCTGTTGCCCAGGATAGAGTGCAGTGGGGCGATCTCAGCTCACTGCAACCTCCGCCTTCCAGGATCAAGCGATTCTCCTGCCTCAGCCTCCCAAGTAGCTGGAATTACAAGCACGTGCCACCATGCCCGGCTAATTTTTTGTATTTTTAGTAGAGATGGGGTTTCACCATGTTGGCCAGGCTTCTTGCGAACTTCTGGCCTCAAGTGATCCACACAGCTTGGCCTCCCAAAATGTCGGGATTACAGGCTTGAGCTACTTGCCTGGACACGTTCACCAATATTAACAGGTTGCCAGAATCTACCTTTCAACAAGGCATATAAGAGTATTTCCAAGAAAGGAAAGCAAGCTACTTCAATTAGGCTAATTATGAACCTCTGAAACCACCCAACTAGATTTTTCTCCTTGGATTTTATGGTGGCGTCACATATTCATCAAGTTCAAAACCAAACTCATTACCTTTCACTTCCTTATTTTTTTCTATGCCTTCCCTTTTGAAACAACCCTCCTTGTAGCCTTTTTATTTGCTTTTTGTGTATCCTTAACGTTGAGAAGATGAAATACTTTAGGCAGTCTTTGGATATCCAAATGTCTTGTATGATAATTAAGAATACTAATGATATAGGTGATGATCAGTAAATATACTAGCGTTTTTTAGAATTTATTTATCTGACCACTAAACAGTTACTAAGCATTTACTATATGTTCAGCACTATGCAAGACACTAAAGCCATCAGAAGTTAATGTTGCTGAGATATAGTGGTGGATCATGATGGACGGGAAGCAGAACTAGATTACAGCTCCCACTCAGACAGACAGAGCAGCATGTGGAGGTTCGCATCGAGAATTTTTGCTTCAGAATGACGACAGGAATAAATCAGGAAATCCAAGAGAACACATAGACCCTTTGAAGGAAGCGGACTGCTCCTGCAGGACCCAGGAGACACCCCAATTACTAACAGGTTCTGGTATCCACAGCTGAGAGACCCACAGATGGTTCACAGGAGTCTGTGCAGACAACCCCCAATACCAGCCCCAAGTTGGTAGACTTACTGGGTGGCTAGATCCAGAAGAGAGATAACAATCACTACAGCTCAGCTCGCAGGAAGCCACATCCATAGGAGAAGGAGGAGAGTACCACATTGAGGGAATACCCCGCGGGACAAAAGAATCTGAACAAGAGCCTTCGGCCCTAAACCTTTCCTCTGACAGAGCCTACCCAAATGAGAAGGAGTGGAAAACCAACTCTGGTAATAAGGGAAAACAAGGTTCTTTAACACTCCACAAAAAATCACCACTAGCTCACCAGCAATGGATCCAAACCAAGAAGAAACCCCTGATTTACTCCAAAAAGAATTCAGGAGGTTAGTTATTAAGCTAAACAGGGAAGCACCAGAGAAAGGGGAAGCACCAGAGAAAGGTGAAGCCAAATGTAAGGAAGTTATAAAAAGACACAAGAAGTGAAGAGAGAAATATTCAATGAATAGACAGCATAAAGAAAAGACAATCAAAACTTCAGGAAACAACGGACATACTTACAGAAGTGCAAAATGCACTGTAAAGTCTCAGCAATAGAATTGAACAAGTAGAAGAAAGAAATTCGGAACTCAAAAATAAGGTCTTCGAATTAACCCAATCCAACAAAGACAAAGAAAAAAGAATAAGAAAATATGAACAAAGCTTCCAAGAAGTCTGAGATTATGTTAAACGACCAAACCTAAGAATAATCAGCATTCCTGAGGAAGAAGGAAATCTAAAAGTTTGGAAAATATATTTGGGGGAACAATCAAGGAAAACTTCCCTTACTAGAGCCCTAGACATCCAAATACAAGAAGCAAAAAGAACAGCTGGGAAATTCATCACAAAAATATCATCGCCTAGGCACATTGTCATCAGGTTATCTAAAGTTAAGACAAATAAAAGAATCTTAAGAGCTGTGAGACAAAAGCACCAGGTAACGTAAAAAGGAAAACTTCTCAGATTATCAGCAAATTTCTCAGCAGAAACCCTACAAGATGGAAGGGATTGGGGCTCTATCTTCAGTCTCCTCAAACAAAACAATTATCAGTCAAGAATTTTGTATCCAGTGAAACTAAGCTTCATATATGAAGGAAAGATAAGGTCTTTTTCAGAAAAAGAAATGCTGAGAGAATTCACCACTACCAAGCCACCTGAATTAGTCAGAGTTCTCTAGAGGGAAGAACCAATGGAAGAACTAATTTTATATATATATATATATATATATGTATGTATATATATATGTATGTATGTATATATATATATGTATGTATATGTATATAAAGTTTATTAAATATTAACTCACATGATCACAAGGTCCCACAATAGGCCACCTGCAGGCTGAGGAGCAGGGAGTGCCAGCCCAAGTTTCAAAACTGAAGAACTTGAAGTCCAATGTTTGAGGGCAGGAAGCATTCAGCATGGGAGAAAGATGTAGGCTGAGTGGCTAAGCCAGTCTCTCTTTTCACATTTTATTCTGCCTGCTTATATTCTAGTTGCACTGGCAGCTGATTAGACTGTGCCTACTCTAAGGGTCGGTGTGCCTTTCCCAGGCCACTGATTCAAATGTTAATCTCTTTTGGCAGCACCCTCACAGATACACCCAGGATTGATACTTTGCGTCCTTCAGTCCAATCAAGTTGACAGTATTAACCATCACACCACCACTATAAGGATGGCTAAAAGGAGCTCTAAATCTTGAAACAAATCCTGGAAACACATCAAAACAGAACTTCTTTAAAGCATAAATCTCACCGAATCTATGAAACAAAAAATAGAATTTAAAAAACAAAAACAAAAAACCACGGTATACAGGCAACAAATAGCATGATCAATGGAATGGTACCTCACATCTCAATACTAACATTGAATGTAAATGGCCTAAATATTCTACTTAAAAGATATAGAATTGCAGAATTGATCAGATACCAGCCAACTATCTGCTGCCTTCAAGAGATTCACCTAACACATAAGGACTCAAATAAACTTGAGGTAAAGAAGTGGAAAAAGACATTTAATGCAAATTGACATCAAAAGCAAGCAGGGGTAGCTATTCTTACATTAGACAAAAATCACTTTAAATCAATAGCAGTTTAAAAAGACAAAGAGGGACATTATATAATGATAAAAGGCATTGCCCAACAGGAAAATATCACATTCCTAAACATATATGCACCTAACACTGGAGATCCCAAATTTATACAAGAATTACCAATAGACCTAAGAAATGAGATAGCAACACAATAATAGTGGGGGACCGCAATACTCCACTGACAGCACTAGACAGGTCATCAAGACAGGAAGTCAACAAAGAAACAATGTATTTAAATTATACCTTGATACAAATAGACTTAACAGATACATACGGAACATTTTCATCCAACAATTGCAGAATATACATTCTATTCAACAGCACATGGAACTTTCTCCAAGACAGACCATATGATATGACACAAAATGAGCCTCAATAAATTTAAGAAAATTGAAATTATATCAAGCACTCTTTCAGACCACAGTGGAATAAAACTGAAAATTATCTCCAAAAGGAACCTTCAAAACCATGCAAATACATTGAAATTAAATAACCTGCTCCTGAATGAGCATTGGATCAAAAACGAAATCAAGACGGAAATTAAAAAATTCTCCAAACTGAAAGACAATAGTGACACAACCTATCAAAACCCCCGGGAGACAGCAAAGGTGGTGTTAAGAGGAAAGTTCATAGCCCTAAATGCCTACATCGAAAAGTCTGAAAGGGCACAAACAGACAATCTAACGTTGCACCTCAAGGAACTAGAGAAACAAGAACAAATCAATCCCAATCTACAAATTCAATGCAATTCCCATTAAAATATCACCATCATTCTTCACAGAATTCGAAAAAACAATTCTAAAATTCATATGGAACCAAAAAAAAAGAGCCCACATAGCCAAAGCAAGACTAAGCATAAAGAACAAATCTAGAGGCATCACATTACCTGATTTCAAACTATGCTATAAGGTCATAGTCACCAAAACAGCATGGTACTGGTATAAAAATAGGCACATAGACCAATATAACAGAATAGAGAACCCAGAAATAAACCCAAATACTTACAGCCATCTGATCTTCGACAAAGCAAACAAAAACATGAAGTGGAGAAAGGACACCATTTTCAACAAACGGTGCTGAGATAATTGGCTAGCCACAGATAGGAGAATAAAACTGGATCCTCATCTCTTACCTTATATAAAAATCAACTCAAGATGGATTAAGGACTTAAACCTAACACCTCAAAGTATAAAACAAATTCTAGAAGATAGCATTGGAAAAACCCTTCTAGAGATAGGCTTAGGAAAGGAATTTCATGACCAAGAACCCAAAAGCAAATGCAATAAAACAAAGATATATAGCTGCAACTTAATTAAACTAATGATCTTTTGCATGGCAAAAGAACCGTCAGCAGAATAAACACACAACCCACAGAGTGGGAGAAAGTCTTCATAATCTACACATCTGACAAAGGAATAATATCTAGAATCTACAACGATCTCAAAAAAATAAGCAAGCAAGAAAGAAACAATCTCATCAAAAAGTGGGCTTAAGGATATGAATAGACACTTCTCAAAACAAGATACACAAATGGCCAACAAACATACAAAAAAAAATGCTCAATGTCACTAATGATCAGGGAAATGCAAATCAAAACCACAGTGCAATACCACCTTACCCCTGCAAGAATGGTAAGAATAAAAAAAAAATCTAAAAATAGTAGATGTAGATGTTGGCATGGAACATCTACTACATCCCTGTTGGCAGTTAACAGGGAACACTTCTACAGTGCTGGTGGGAATGTAAACTAGTACAGCCGCTATGGAAAACTGTGGATATTCCTTAAAGAACTAAAAGTAGGACTACCATTTGATCCAGCAATCTGCCTACTTGGTATCTACCCAGAGGAAATGAAGTCATTATATGAAAAAGATACTTGCACATGCATGTTTATAGCAGCACAATTCACAATTGCAAAATCATAGAACCAACCCAAATGCCCATCAATCAATGTATGGATAAAGAAACTGGTATACATATGCAGTGCAATACTACTTAGCCATAAAAAGAAATGAATTAATGGCAGTCGCAGTGACCTGGATGAGATTGGAGACTCTTATTGTAGGTAAAATAACTCAGGAATGGAAAACCAAACATCGGATGTTCTCACTCATAAGTGAGAGCTAAGCTATGAGGATGCAAAGGCATAAGAATGACACAATGGACTTTGCGGACTCAGGGGGAAAGGGCGGGAGTCGGGGTGAGGGATAAAAGACTACAAATAGGGTACAGTGTATACTGCTCAGGTGATGAATGCACCAAAATCTCACAAATCACCACTAAAGAACTTACTCATGTAACCAAACACCACCTGTCCCCCCAGTAACCTATGGAAATAAAAACAAATTAAAAAGAAGCAAACAAAGATAAAAAAAGAATGTTGCTGATTATATCCTGTTTCTAATACTTGCACACAAAATGATTTCCAGTAAATTATCCATATGCCCAACAGCTTTCATTTCTCTCCTTTATAAATATAAAAATCATGCATCTGTGTAAATCCTCATATGGTATAAATATTATTGCTCTTTTGCAAAATGGAAGAAAACTCTTGAATAAAAAGGGAATCTCTCTTAACCTTTAAGGTTTTTTTTTTAATATTTATTATCTGTGCTTTTCTTTCTGCTTTTGAGTCTAAATCAAAAATTCTCTCCTGTCAGTTACAATTACTACTTCAGTAAGTATTCATTCTTATTCTCTATAATTTCATAGATATTTTAAGGATACTATTGATAGAGACAATAATCAAATCGTACTTTTGCAACTACAGGCAAACTTGGCATTCATTCTCTTAACAAATGGTTTATTCTGATCTAGCAACAGCAGCAAGCACTTAAGGATGCTGACTAAGTGGCCCTAAAGACAAAATTGTCGGAGGCACAGAATGCCATTTCATGGTTCTGTGTATTCTTTCACTTTAACTTTCCAGTTGGCAGCGTGCATGGCCTCAATGTCTGACTGGGATAAATTATTGTAATTCTAATAATAATAAAAACAATAATCACTTTTTGAGATCAGTTGTGCTCATAAAAGTTTTGTGTTAAGTAGCTTCAATTATTTGGCAAACACCCTATTAATCTTCATTGGGTGACAATTACTGTTATGTTTATTAAAAATCTAATATTTCAAGGTAGCTTGATAGCTACATTTCTTATCATCAAAGATTATTTTCAGTCAAGAATCAGGTCTTGTACTGGATACTAAAGTTCACCTAACTCTGAAACACCAAGGGAATAAAGTGTTTTTTCGAGCAGGGGCCCTCTGACACCTAGGTAGTGCCATATTGGTTGCTAGTGGAATGAATAGATTTGCATTGGAGGTACACAACAATGCCATTGGTGATGAAGATATTCACGTTTCTATTTCAGAGGTGATAAATAGGTACAAAGAGTTTAAGTGACTTGCCCACAATAAGCAAAATAGCCAACCTAATGGGAAATATACCTTCTATAATATCTAACAGTCTTAAAACAGCCTCACTCAAAGTTCTTAAAACTCTAAACTGAGGAAGATTTTGTCTACTTTATCTTGTACAATAGGTACAGAAAGAATATTTTCCTACATATTTTGAAAGAAAGGCTATAGACTAAATGCATGTCCTATGAATTACATTTAATGAAAAGGCCTAATGCTTGAGACAAAGGCATGTGGCCTTTTGACTTGCTCGGGATTTTGGATTAAAAGAAATTGTGTGAGTATCCTTGTTTGCTGGGTATGAATTATAAAGCATACAAAGAGCTGAAGTCTTTTTAAAACTTGATAACAACCTTTCCTCCACACACAGTTCTTTCTTTGGTTAATCTGAGATAGACTAGTAACATCAAAACTTACTGGTTCTTATAAAACTGCCATTTCGTAAACTTAAAATGCAGCCAATTGGTACAAAAACTAATTTGGAAACAAATCTCTTTAGAGTATGGTTGTTATTAATGATGATAACGATAGATTGAAGCACTACAAATCTATCTGGTCTTTTGTTTGTTTCTTTGCTTTCCTCAAAAAACAAATAATATTTTCCTTTTGTCTGGGCCACTCCCCTTCATGCTTTGTCCACTGCAGAGGCAAACTGAGGAATAATGGTTTTGTTTCCAAGGTAGGTTATGATCAGAAAGATAATCATGAGGTAGGCTGCCAAATTCTTAAGAGAATGGGCTCTGGGTCTGAGAGAATAGGACTGAATACTGGCTGTAGCATTTATTGACCGTGTAACCATGGTCAAGGCTCTCTATCTCCCTGCACCTCAATGTTGCCATCTATAGATTAGGGGTAAAAACTGTAACTATGTGGACTAAACAAAATGAGGCATATAAAACACTTAGCATAATGCCCATTTTATAGTAAGTGAGCAATCAATAAATGAGAGCCATTGTTATGTTAACACGAATTTGTAACTTCTTTGTGTTGACATTTGTTACCAAGGCCAAGCAGAAGTCAAAGAAGATATAGATCATAATTGGATTCATTAATTTACAGGCCAGTTTTAAGTTTACCTTCATCAGTTGCATACCTTATCACATATGTTCATTTACTTAGAAAAACACACTCCGTTGTGATTACTGTTTCATTCATGGTTGCCCTTGCTTATCCTTGAAAGCAACTGTCACACAATCTACATCCTGCTTTTTTGCTGTCACATCAGCCACAAAGCCAGCAATGCCACTTCTATCCCCCCTCTGCATTTAGCCTGTCACCACGTACTGCTGTGTTTCTCTTCTAAGGCATCACTAATGTCAGCCCCATGCTCTCCATTCTCATAAACACAGCATTCTGGCCCTCATTATCACAAATTCAAGCTAAATCCAAACTATTTCCCATGGACCTACCTCACTTGCAACAACTGTTACCTTAAGAAATCAACACACCCGAAGTCTTGCCCTAACAACTTCTACACCCAAAGCACAAGCAATAGAAAACATTTGCTCGCTGCCCCCAGAAGTCTGATTTTGGACTTCCGCTATTCTCCATTGTAAATCAGTTAACTCAGCTTGCTTACATCATAGCAGGCTTCTTCATTTGAAGAGGTGATTTTCATACCACATTAACAATCGTAATAAGATCCTGTTTCTAGGTACTCTTATAACTCTGACCACTCACCTGGCAATCTCCACTATCATCTAATAGAATTCTATTTCTTCAGAGTCAGTCTATCCAACAGGCCCTGAGTTTCCACAATCTTGTGTCATGAACGCCACTACTTTCAATTCAAAGAGTCAGAAGTCCTTACTTCCTTTGAACTTTATCAATTCTGTCTCTCTCATCTGATAAACCAATATATCCAAGGTAGGAAAAAGACCACCCACTGCCAAACCACAGACTCCCCTTTACATTCTTCCAAATAGAAGGCTTATTTTCATACTTATCATAACTGTTATTTACATCCAGAAAAATGCATCTCAATAGTATGTATGGTTGTTGGGTGGGTAGGGGGAGGTCAATGTACCAGGGAGGTGCATAAGAATCACCAAGGTGGGAGAAACCCATCTTTAAAACAATAAATCAGTAAAACATTTTTGACAGGAAGGTTTCCTGAATGATAATTTAACATTTGTACTAAGTAGGAAAAAATATTTTAAGCAAGTAGACAGGCCCAGTAGTTTCTAGTGAAATCATATGAGCTACCTTTTAATTGCATCTTTTAAAGTAAATAAAAGAATTATATTTTATTTTAGTAGGTATTTAAAATGTTATTTACTTTAAAATCTCAATTAACAATAAAGAAGAACATTTCATCTATAACCCTCAAGATGTAGGTTTTGTAAAAATTTGAGACAAACAAATCCAGAATAAATCCCATTTCAAAAGAATAATGCTTTGAGCAGTGGCTTTGACCACTTTACTTTACTCAAGCATTCTTTAAAATACCAACTTCTACCTGAAATTTTCTGTCACCAAAGATATAACAGCAATGTACCTCACTAAACACAGTATAATCGCCGTAAAAGCTAATGGAAGATGTCAGATATAAGAGTTTCTCAAAACTTGCCACTCCTCTGCAAAAAAAAATTTTAAGTCTGTGAAATCACTAATGTAAAGTAGAATCTATAAATGGAATCTTAAAATGTAGGAATTAGTGATATTTTCTACCTTATGTCCACCAATCAACACTTGCAAATAGTTAATACTTAAAATGTGGAATGTGAGCAATAAACAGAACTTCAGAACTTTAGCCCAGTATCCTGTCCCTCATGGGAACTTCTTCTACTTGACTTTTGTATATATGTCTGAGATCAATCATTTCCACTGACAGGGAGCTCATTCCTTTTAGAAGCGGCCTCTTCTATTTTGTTAATGAAAAGAGCAGAACTGAAATTTTCCTGCTTGCAACATCTGTTGGTTCTAGTGATGCCATATGGAGCCATGCAAAATAAGCTTAACCGTTTCAACATGACAGACCCTCAAATACATCCAGTTCATGTAAACAAACTTCAAAGTCTTCTATTCTCTAGGCTACCAGTTGTTTCCATCACTCATTTTAGAAAATGAAAAGTCAAGTTTACCTACCCCTGGAGTACTATCTGGCATTAGTTGCAAATCCTCAGCAAGTTATTTAACCTCTTTGAAACTTAAGTTTTCATGTATGAATAATACTATTTATTTCACAATTTTGTTATAAGGGTTACAAGTAATGTATATTACTTGCTTAAAGAGCACTTTAAAACTTTCAAAAAAGCACTGCTATTATCATCAGCTTTGCTTTACTATCATCTCTAGGGATTTTATTCCCAATAATACAACAAATCTCCAATAATAATGAGAATAATAAACATAAAAATTATTTTTTTTGTGATGATCACAGTTACCCTACAGGTAGAATGTTTGATAAGTTGTTGTTTTTGTTTTTTGTTTTTTTTTTAAATCTCATTAGATTCTCCCAACAACCCAGAAGGTAGGTGCTATTCTCCATATACAGATGGGAAAATCGAGGCTCTAAGAAGTTGGGCAATTTGCCAAAGCTCTACTCAGGAATAGCGAAGCTAAGTTGTAATTCTTATCTGTTTAACTTTAAAGTTCATGTTGTTAACTATATTGCATTTCTAAATTTTTGTTTATAATTCTAAATTTTTACAGAGGGTAATGATTCAATGAATACATCCTTCTTATTCCTTGACTATTATCATTTTAAATAAACTTCAAGAATTGTACCGTCTCACCTTCTACAAGTTATAACAAGAAAGCCCTCACCAGGTGCCACCCCCATGATCTTGGACTTCCCAGTCTCCAGAACTATAACCCAATAAATTTCTGTTCATTACAAGTTATCCAGTCTGTACTATTCCGTTATAGCAATGTGAATGTACCTATTACAGCATTATATTATGATATTATGCTTCCTTGACTACCATCCAAATATCTGAGAACAAACATTTGCAATGACAGGTAATTCATTCATTCTGGAGACAGCTTTGTTTTTTCCTGACAAGAGAATAACTAAAATGCTCCTGTTTGTGACATCCACCTATTGGTCCTAGTTATGCCACATGGAGCCACACAAAATGAACATGCCCATTTTCAATATTGGGAGACTGAAATCACTAACTCCCTGTTGCTATGCACAACAAGTATTAAATTCAGTTAAAGGAAGAAATAAAGCTATAAATGGGGCAAAGATGAGTTTGTGGGCTGAGATTTACTTGCTACAAGTAGAAATGTTGCAGGAAAAGGTGGGAGAGGGGCTGATATGTAGCCAAATGTACTTAAAGAGCACAGTGATCATCTTCCTGTTTTGACTGGTAGGTGTCCATGTTTTATCAGTTGAAAAATAATTGTCCAGTAGCTCAAATAGGCAACACTGGTCCTAGGGCTCTCCTTATTTTCCAGTAGGATTGACTGAGGCCATGAGAGATTTTCTCTTATGTCATTACATCTATATCACAGTCATATTCAATCCACCATTCATAACATCACTTATTAATTTGTCCTTTTAAGACACAATATGGTATTCTGATAATTTTTCAATAAGTAATTTCATGCCTATACCTGAAGATTTTGATTTATAAAGTCAGAAAAAGCTGATCTATTTAATAGACTGTTGGATACATGAATGAATTCTTTATAGCATTAAGACATGTTAAGATGTGAGCACACACAGACAACATCAAAATGGAACAAACTCCAACGTACCTTGCTAGTACTCTGAAGTGTAAATTGAAAATCTGAGGAGCAGGACTTCTATAGCAATAAAACTGCAGAAATACATATTAATAAAGGTAGCACTTTGCAAAACAAATAACAAACAAAACTGGAAATGCTCCTTCCCTAAACCTTGAATTACCATGACAGCTCCAGCACGTATGAATTCTTAAATATGTATAAAAAGGATATCAGGTTTTAACTAAAAGTAGCTACGTGTAGATATGTATTTTGTCTTATATCCTGCCTCCAGTATTCATCAAACTCTACAAAGGGGTTAAAATAGCCCAAGACCTAAAACATTGTAACCTTATACCTGAGAACTTAAATGCAAAGATCACATTCTGAACTGGCACTGTTAATACTAATACAAAATGTGCAGCAGCTGTCCTGGTATTTTTGTGAATTCTGCCTCTGCATAATAGGATCTAAAATACTTCTCCAATACGGGGCTAAAACTTTGAATGCTACACAGAAGCAGATGAGATTATTAACTATTTCCACCATTACTAAAGCTTATGGCTGGCCTCAGCTGTCACTGAGTCAACTGAGGTCTAGATAGCAGAAATGGCAGTTGTAGCTATATCACTAAGAGACAGCACTAAGCGCTAAGGCTTTGGCTTCTATTTTTAGTATGACCTCAATAAAGTATTACAGAGTTACAGCCACTTCTCAATGAAGCTTCATCTATTCAAATCACAAGGTCTCATTTTAACACACTTGGTGATCCTTAATCATGTGAAAAAATTTTTTCTCAACGCAGAGTATGTGCAAAAATATCAGATTCAGATGCTTTATTTTTTCAGAATTTTCATTCTTGTCGATATAAGTTATACTGACCTACTATGTCCGACAAGAATGGAAATTCTCCTTCATTAAAGAAATGCATACACACATACATATGTGTATATATGTGTATTTATATGTACATGATCGATGTGTTTATTTTTAACAAATTGAATAAGCATTTTTAAAAACTATCTTTTCCCAGCATTTTCACTTTTCCCCAATTCTATCCTTATATGATACTTAATATAGGAAAAGTTGAATGAATGTGAATATTCTTATAAAGATGAATAAACTAAAGTAGATAAGGGGTCCAATGAGTTTCGCAAGGTTGCAAAGTAAGAATCTAGCTAGGTCATTTGACTGACAGCATTGAAATTCTCAACTGAGTAGCGGTACAAAAAAATACAGTAAGAAACTGTCCAGAAACACTCATATGATTAAATTAATTTCTTCCTTATGAACATCTCTTCTCCTTTGAGGTGATGACACATTTCTATTACCAGATAATGACAAGACAGGACAGCGAGTGAGTAAAAAAATGACTGGATAGGTGAGTCTGCTATGTACAAAACACTGTACTAGGCCTCCTATGGAATGGAGATGGAAAGAAGACAGCATTATGTATAAATAGGGGATATTTATTATTTTCTGGAAATTTAAGATAAACATGAAAACAGTAAAAATAAGCTAATGCACTATTTATATTGGCAGGCTGAATATACACATGTACATACAGGGACTTGGCCTTTCTTTCACCCACTGGTAGAAAGAGTGCTAATGCTTGCAAAGAAATGACTGTGGGTAGTTGTACAAAATGTGACCAGGAAATAGAGTAAGAATGGAACCTGGCTTATGACTCTGACCTTTCTCACACAAAATTCAGGCCAGCCTCATCAAGCCCTCAAAAAAGGGTTCAGGCAAAAATAGTCATGTCAGCAAAATTCCAGGTTAGGTAACTGAAGGTGATTAAGTTTTCTCAAATATAAACTGCTGGCCATAAGGTTCAATTTCAGCCTCAAAATGTGGTTAGGTTAATTTCTACTAATTTTTTGCCATCTTATGAAATAACTAGATGCTAAAAATCTATTGCAATTTTCTTTCCTTCAAGACTTTAAGTAAATTTGAATCATTTTAATTTTTTCTTCTCTTTTTTCCCCCAAAGAGTGATATATGTAATATCTTTCATGTTGTTTGAAAGACAACATCAAAACATACTTTTATTTTATTTTTATTTTTAATCTTTGAGATGGAGTCTCGCTCTGTTGCCCAGGCTGGAGTGCAGTGGCGCCATCTCGGCTCACTGCAACCTTCGCTTCCCAGGTTCAAGCGATTTGCTGGGATTACATGCTCATGCCACCATGCCCGACTAATTTTTGTATTTTTAGTAGAGACGGGGTTTCACCATATTGGCCAGGCTGGTCTCAAACTCCTGACCTCAAATGATCTGCCTGCCTTGGCCTCCCAAAGTGCTGGTATTACAGGTATGGCTACCACACCCAGACTGAAACATCATTTTAATAAGTCTAAGGCTGTTATTAAAATTATATTAGAGATTCTTCCCTTCATTAAGCAAATAATTACAAGATTCTGGCCATGATTTTTATAATGAAAGAATAAACTAGATATAGAAATAATTTTTAAAATTCTCACACATGTATGTGTGTGTGTGTATATATATATACATACATACATACATTCACTTATTTGTGTATCTACTCTCTTTTTACCTGGCTATATATGGATCAAAATACTAATATCTGTATTTTTAAATTAATTTATTTATGCCCTGCCTGATTAAAAATTTTTTGAAGCAATTAAAAAATTGTTGTAGAGTTCAAAAGTTTAAGTATCTCTGGGTTAAAGCATTCTCAGCATTTTACCTAAACTAAAAGAGAGAAATAAGAACTGCTGTTTGTGTAAAAATAGTACAGTTGAAATGAAAAGTTAGGGAGACACTAAATTCTGTTGCAATGTTATCCCACATGAATCCCCTGTACTTGAAAATCAACCGTAGAAAGAAAGCCAAAAGAAAAGAAGGAAAAAATATGATTTGATGGTTACCTTAGAAAACCATGGCTAGTATAACTCCTTGGTGATCTATAGAGGTATGATAATAATGTAATTCTTAGAAAGATTAGGATTTGATTTTGAAATAACCCTTAAAACAAAAATACGTTTCACTACAGTATTAAAAATCAAATTTAAAAATTTTCACAGTTGAATAAATTTCAGTCTAACACTAAGACACTTAACAGAAGTATATTTACAACAAATTTCACTTTCAGTGAGGTCAATGTTTAAAGAGTCACGTACCCTGTTGTCAATCACGTTAATACTTTTTGGTCTAAGAACTCTTACTATTAACATGCGACATTCATTTTCTTTCTTTCTTTTTTATTTTATTATTTTTTTTATTTGAGATGGAGTCTCACTCTGTCCCCCAGGCTGGAGTGCAGTGGCACGATCTGGGCTCACTGCAACCTCCGCCTCCCAGGTTCAAGTGTTTCTCCTGCCTCAACCTCCAGAGTAGCTGGATTACAGGCTCCAGCCACCATGCTTGCCTAATTTTTGTATTTTTAGTAGAGTTGGGGTTTTGCCATGTTGGCCAGGCTGGTCTCGAACTCCTCACCTCAGGTGATCTGCCCACCTCGGCCTCTCTAAGTGCTGGGATGACAGGCGTGAGCCACCACGCCCGGCCACATTCATTTTCTTATACTCATTTTAATTTTTTCAAAATGTATATTATTTAGGTATTTTCTTCCTATATTTTCTCAAAATATTTTTACCTCATCCCTATAACACATGTTTTTAAAGGCTTGAGATTAGAAGAATACAAATTACAAAACTGTGCCAAATGCATGCTTTTACTCTCTTTTTAACAAATCTCACATTGTATTTAAAAGGTGCTATGCAGGACTCAAGAGACTCATGGGTAGTGACATAAGAGAGAGCTGGTAATAAAATAAGTATTAACATGCTTTACACAGATGCTTACATAAACAAACCAATTTATTATTTCAAACTTGGAAATTCATTTTTTAAATTATTACTAAAAATTGCATGTATTTATTGTGCACAGCATGATGTTCTGAAATATGTATACACCGTGGAATGGCTAAATTGAGCAAATTAATACATGCATTACCACAAACACTTATCATTTTTGTTGCGAGAACATTTAAAATCTATTCCTAGTAATTTTGAAGAATAAATACATTGTTATTAACTGTAGTAACTTGTTGTACACTAGATCTCTTGAACTTAATCCTTCTGTCTAACTGAAATTTTTTATCAGTTTACCAACATTTCCTCGACTACTCTCTCCCCAGCCTCTTAATAACCACAATTCCACTCGCTGTTTCAATGAGTTCAACATTTTTAGATTCTAGGTGTGAGATCACATGTTATTTGTTCTGGGCCTGGCTTACTGCACTTTACATAATGTCCTCCAGGTTCATCCACATTGTTATAAATGACAGGATTTCTTTTTTAAGGCTAAATACTATTCCATTATGTATATATACCATGTTTTCTTTATCTGTTCACCCATTGATAGAACTTTGTTTGATTTCCTGTCAGGCTGTTGTGAATAATACTACAATGACCATGCAAGTGCAGCTATATCTTTGACATACTGATTTCATTTCCTTTGTATATATATCAACTAGTGTGACTGGTGGATCACATGGTAGATCTGTAGATCTATTTTTTAATTTGGAAGGGACCTCCACTCAATTTTACATAGTGGCTATACTATTTTATTCCCACCATGTGTGGGGGTTCCCTCTCTACATCCTCACTTTTTTCATAACAGCCATCTTTCATCATTTTGATAATAGCCATTCTAACTGGTGTTAGGTGATATCTCATTGTTGTTTTAATTTGCATTTCTTACATGATTAGTGAGGTTGAGCATTTTTTCATATACCTGTTAGCCTATTGTATGTCTTCTTTTAAGAAATGTCTGTTCAGGTCCTTTGTCCATTTGTAAATCAGGTTATTTGTCTTCTTGCTATTGAGTTTCTTGAGTTCCTTACATAGTTTGAATATTAATCCCTTATGAGATGTATGGTTTGCACATATTTTGTCCCAGTGCAAAGGCTGTCTTTACATTCTGATGTTCCCTTTACTGTGCATGAGCTTTTTATTTTAATGCAATCCCATTTGTGTATTTTTACCTTTTGGCCTGTGCTTTGGGCTAATACCCCAAAAAATCATTATCCAGATCAATATCATGGAGCTTCTCCCCTAGATTTTCTTCAATGGGTTGAATATCCCTTATCTGAAATGCTTGAGACAAGAAGTATTTTGGATTTGGATATCATTTTTTTCATTTGGAAATATTTGCATTAGATTTAACAGTTGAGCATCCCACATTCTAAGATCCAAAATCCAAAATATTCCAATGAGCATTTCCTTTGAGCATCAGTCACACTGGCACTGAAAAAGTTTCAGATTTTGAGGTATTTCAGATTTTGGATTTGGGATGCTCAACTTGTAGTAGTTTTACAGTTTTAGGTCTTACATTTAAGACTTTAATACATTTTGATTTTATTTTTGCATCTGATGTAAGATGAGGGTCTAATTCCATTCTTCTACATGTGGATATCCATTTATCCCAACAGAATTTATTGAAGATACTGTCTTTTCCCCATTGTGTGTTCTTGGCACCCTTGTCAAAGATCAATAACTGTAAATGCGTGGATTTATTTCTGGAGTCTCTATTCCATTCCATTGGTCTATGTGTCTGCTTTTACACTAGCACCATGCTGTTTTGATTATTACAGCTTTGAAATATAATTTGAAATCATGTAATGTGATGCTTCTGGCTTTGTTCTTTTTGTTCAAGATTGCTTTGGCTATTTAAAGTCTTTTGTGGTTCCATAAAAATTTTAGAATGGTTTCTATTTCTGTGGAATTTTAATAGAGATTATATTTAATCTGTAAAATATTTATATCACTTGTGTAATATGAACATTTTAACAATATTCTTCCAATCCATAAACACGACATATCTTTCCATTTATTTATGGCTTCTTTAATTTCTTTCATCAATATTGCATTGTTTTCAGCATACAGGTCTTTTTTATCTCCTGGGTTAAATTTTATCCTAAGTATTTCTTTTATTTTTTGGTAGCTACTTTAAATGGGATTGCTTTCTTGATTTATTTTTCAGAAGTTTGTTGTTAGTGTACAGAAATGATACTGATTTTGGTAGGTTGATTTGGTATCCTGTAAATTTACTAAATTCATTTATTAGATCTAATAGTTTTTTGTGAAGTCTTGAGGGTTTTCTGTGTATTAAGATCCTGATATCTGCAAGCAGAGATAATTTAACATTTTTCTTTCCAATTTGGATGCCTTTTATTTATTTTTCCTGTCTACTTACCCAGGCTAGGACTTCCAATCTTATTTTGAATAGACATGGTAAAAGTGGGCATCCTTGTCTTGCTCCTGATATCAGAAGAAAAGCTTTCAACTATTTATTACTGAGAATGATGTTAGCTTTCAGTTTGTCATGCACAACCTTCATTGTGTTGAGGTACATTCCTTCTATACCTAATTTACTGAGAGTTTTTAACATAAAATGATGTTCAATTATGTCAAATCTATCGAGATGATCATAGTGATTTTGTCCTTCATTCTGTTAATGTGAGGTATCACATTTATTGATTTCTGTATGTTGAAAAATGCTTAAATCCCAGATATAAATCCCAATTGATCACAATGAATGACTTTTAATGTGCTGTTGAATTCAGTTTGCTAGTATTTTGTTGAAGATGTTTGCATTAATCCTAATTAGGGATACTGTCCTGTATTTTTAAATTTTCCTTACAGTGGCATTGTCTGGTTTTAATATCACGGTAATGCTGTCTTCATAAATTAAGTTTGAAAGTAGCCCTTCTTCAGCTTTTTTGAAAGAGGTAGAGGAGAATAGATATTAGTTCTTTTTTAAATGTTTGATAGAATTCAGCAGTGAAGCTATCAGTTCCATAAGCTTTGCTTCAGTGGGAGACTTTTTATCACCAAATCAATAACATTACTCATTATTGTTCTGTTCACATTTTCTGTGTATTCATGATTTGGTCATGGTAGGTTGTATGTTTCTTGGAATTTATCCATTTCTTCCACGTTGCCCAATTTTTGGCCCATAATTTTTCACAGCAGTCACATGCTATTGTGGTCTCACTTGTAATGTCTTCTTTTTCATTTCCTATATTGAGTTTTTTTCTTAGTCTTGCTAAAGGTTTGACAGTTTTGTTTATCACTGCAAAAAACAACCCTTAGTTTTATTAATCTTTGCTATTGTTTTTCTAGTCTCGATCTCATTTGTTTTTGCTCTCATGTTTATTATTTCCTTCCTTCTACTAACTTTAAGCTTAGTTAATTCTTATTTTTCTAGTTCCTTGAGATATAAAATTAGGTTGTTTATTTGAGAACATTTTTTCTTTTTTGATGTAGACATTTATTACTATAAACTTCCCTATTAAATTGGCATTTTCTATGTCCCATAAGTTTTGGGATGATAAATGTATATTTATATTTGTGTCAAGATATTTTTAAATTTCCCTTTTAATTTACCTTTGACAGATTTGTTGCTCAGAAATATGTTGTTTAATTTCCATGTATTTGTGAATTTTATAAAATTGCTCCTGTTATTGATTTCTAGTTTCAGGCCATTGTGGACAGAAAATAATACTTGATAGAATTTCAATCTTCTTAAATGCATTAAGACTTGCTTTGTGGCCTAACGTGATCTATCCGAGAAAATGTTCCACGTATACTTGAGAAGAATGTGTATTCTGCTCTGACTGGATGGAATGTTCTGTATTTCTATTAGATCTATTCTATTTGGTCTAAAGTTTAGTTTATATCTGATGTTTCCTTGTTGACTTTTTTCTGAATGATGTGTTCATGGCTAAAATTGGGGTATTGAAGTCCTCTACTGTTGTTGTATTGCAATCTATTTCTCCCTTCAGATCTATTAATATTTGTTTCACATATTTAGATGCTCCAATGTTGGGTGCACATATATTTACAATTATTATAATCTCTTGATGAACTGATACCTTTATCACTATATAATGACCTTCTTTTTCTCTTTCTTTTAGCTTTTGACTTAAGGTCTATTTTATCTAAGTATAGCTACCCTTGCTCTCTTTTGGTTGCCATTTGCAAAGAACATGCCTTCACTCTCACTCTATATGTGTTCTTTAATGAGAAGTGAGTTTCTTGCAGATGGCATACATTTAGATCTTTTTAAAATCCATTTAATCACTCCATAACTTTTGATTGTAAGATTTAATCAATTTGCAATCAAGGTAGTCATCGATAGGTAAGGATTTACAACTGCCATTTGTTAATTATTTTCTGATTGTTTTGTAGGTCCTTTGTTCCTTTCTTCTTCTGTTGCTGGCTTCCTTTGTGATTAGGTGATTTTCTCTAGTGTTAAGCTTTGATTCCTTACTTTTTATCATTTGTGTACCTCTTGTCGTTTTTGCTTTGCGGTTCCAATGATGCTTACATAAAACATCTTAAAATTATAACAGGCTATTTTAAGCTGATAACAAATTAACTTTGACCACATACCAAGACTCTACACTTTAATTCCACACACACAACCCTACATTTTGTTTTCGGTGTCAGAATTTAGTTGTTTTTATCTTGTGTATCTTATAAAAATTATTATAGCTATTGCTTTTTAAATAATTTTGTCTTCTAATTTTTACACTAAAGATATAAGTAATTTATATACCATCATTCCTTATATTATTAGAATATTATGAATTTGATATATACTTAATTTTACTAGTGGGTTTTATACTTTCATATGTTTTAGTGCTACTAATTATCACTGTTTTCTTGCATCTTTTTTTTTTTTTTTTTGAGTCTGAGTCTCGCTCTGTCGCCCAGGCTGGAGTGCAGTGGCACGATCTCGGCTCACTGCAGGCTCCGCCTCCCAGGTTCACGCCATTCCCCTGCCTCAGCCTCCCGAGTAGCTGGGACTACAGGCGCCCGCCACCACGCCCAGCTAATTTTTTTGTATTTTTAGTAGAGACGGGGTTTCACTGTGTTAGCCAGGATGGTCTCGATCTCCTGACCACGTGATCCGCCCCCCTCGGCCTCCCAAAGTGCTGGGATTACAGGCTTGAGCCACCGCGCCTGGCCCTTGCATCTTTAAGGATTATCTTTAGCCTTTCTTCTAAGACTGGTCTGTTCATAATGAATTCTCTAAGCTTTTGTTTGTCTGGGAAAGACTTTCTCTCTCCTTCATTTCTAAAAAACAGCTTTGCCAGGTAAAGTATTCTTTGTTTTTTGTTTTTTTTTCCTTTAGCACTTTGAATATATCATCCAACGTTTCTTGTCCTGTAAGATTTCTGCTGAGAAATCTGCTATTAGACTTATTGAAACTCCATTACATATTATATGCTCCCTTTCTCTTGCTGCTTTTAGGATAATCTCTTTGTCTTTGATTATTTAACAGTTTAATTATAATATGTCTTGGTGTAGTCTGGCATGACTGAATTTTATTTGACTTTCCTGTACCTGGATATTCACTCTTTCCCCCAGATTTATAAAGTTTTCTATTATTTCTTTAAATAAGCTTTCCACCCCATTTTCTCTCTCTTTTACTTCTGGAACTCCTGTAACTTGCACATTTGCTCTTTTGATGCTCTTCTGTAAATTCCATAAGCTTTCTTCAGTCCCTTTCATTATTTTCAATGACCTTACTGTATATTTTCAAATAACTTGTCTGTAAGTTCACAGGTTCTTCTTCTGCTTGATTAATTTTGCTTCTAAATCTCTTCATTGCATTTTTTTTCATTTCATTAATTATATTTTTCAGTCCCAGGACTTCTGTTTGATTTTTAAACATAATTTCAATCTCTGTTAAATTTCTAGCTTAGGTCATTTATTCTTTTCTTGATTTCATTAAACTGTTTCTCTGTATATTCTTGATTTTCACTGAGCTTCCTTAAAATGACTATTTTGAATTCTTTGTTGGGTTGTTCATATGTCTCTATTTCTTAGGGGTCAGCTACTGAGAGATTTTATTATGTCCTTTTGGTGCTGTTATGTCTCCTTAGTTTTTCATGTTTCTTGTTGCCTTATATTAATATCTATGTACTTGTCAAAGCAGCGGCTTATTCTAGTCTTCACACACCGGCTTTATCCAGAAAAGTCCTTCACTAGTCAGCCCATCCAAACATTCTGGGCAGGACATCTGGTTTGGCCTGTAGCTGAGTTTGTTGCCGAAGTCTTTTTAAGCAGGCTGGCCTAGGTGAGCAGATGGGTGCCTATTGCCTGGGTCGGCAGATGGGTGGGTTTGCTACCTGGGTCTGTGGGGTTGGGCCTTGAGCTTAGGTCTATAGGAGTCCACCTTTTTATTGAGTCCATGGTTGCATGCCTATTGACTATACCCATGAGGGCAGGCCTGCAGCCTGTATCCACAAGGGCAAATCTGAAGCCTGGGTCCACAGGAGATGACCTGATACTGGAGGTGGCCTTGAGCCTTTGTTTGCAGAAGTTGGGCTGGCACTGGAACGAGCCTGGGATCTGAGCCCATTGTGCACTGCCCAATAGTGGCACTGAGGCCCAAATTTGTGGGGGCAGGTCTGGGTCTTGGGTGTAAGGGACCTGGTGTAGAGTGTGGGTCTTCAGAGGGGTTCTGGGGCCTCAGTTTACAGAGATTGGCCTGGCACTGGGGTCTTCAATGATGGGCTGAGACAAGGTCTGCTGAGACCTGAGGCCACAAGTGCCAGCCTTGAGGCTGGATGTGTGGGTGCTGGACTGGAACCTATGCCCACATTATTGGATTTAATCCTGAGATTGTGGGGGCCAACCTGCAACCTGGGTTTACAGGAGTGATCTTGAAACCTGGGTTTATTTTGGCTGGTCCAGTACTTGTCCTTGAGGCCACTGGAACAGTCCTTGAGCCTGTGTCAGCTGGAATGTTGTGCCACATGAATGGGCTTAGCGCTGGGCAGGCCTTGTGCCTGTGTCTGCAGATGCTTGCCTGGTGCCTGAAGCTGGGAGTGCTGACCTGGTGCTGAGGCAAGCCTGATCTGTAACCTAGAGTAATCCTGGTGCCTCAGAGGCTGGCTTGGCACTGAGTTGGCATCAAGCCTGTATCCATAATAGCTAGCCTGATGACTAGAGCTATGGAAGCCAGCTTGGTGTTGCAGCAGGCCTGAAACCTGGTGCTCTGAGGGTTGATCTAGCACTGGTCTGGAATCTGGGGCCACTGGGGCTGGCCTGGCAGTGGAGAAAACACAGAGACCAAGTCCTCTGTGCAGACTAAAAGCCAGAGGCTGTGAAATTCTGCCTGGCAGTAAATGGGTTGCAGGCTTTGCTCATGGGTGTTATCCTGGAATCTGTGGCTGTGGGGGGCCTGTCTAGTGCCTTATTTTACTGCAATAAGCCTGGTGTTAGAGTCTGAGGCAATGTCTGGTGCTCACTTCCCTCTACTCGCCCCAAGAGGAGGGTATCTCTCTCCAGCCTGTACTGCCTGATTTTGGAAGAAGAGTGATGGAGATCCTGTAAGACTTTCCCTCCTACCTTCTTTGATACATTTTTTCTTATTTTTGTGCTACATGTAGGTGCTATAATTTCCTTAGTTCTTGTGAAGGTATTTTCTTGAATGGATAGTTGTGCAAAGTGATGCTTCTGCAGAGTGACAAATGCTGGAAAGTTCTATTCCACCATGTTGATGATGACCAACTAGGAGTTTGTCTTTACGGAACTAAGAGCACCAGAGCAGAAGAATATAAGCACAAAGACAATTAATGAAGACATAATTGTAAGACCAAACACAATAAGTATCATATTCAGTAGAGAAATAGTTGAATATTTTAAGGCACATTGTGATTATTAAGTACAGAAAGTCAGAAAAGACTGTCCATCTTCCTCAAGCAGTGCAGTCAACATTTTCAATAAAACCAGATAACCCCCAATCCTTTGGTTGATTGATGATACACCTATATCACCCACATCCTCATGTAGCTCTCCAAGGTGCTGAATCATAAGTGCTTCTAATTATTCTTACAAACCAGAGTCAGAATGCTAGTTCCTGGCAGTCAACCCTAAAAGGCAGAAGATGCAGAGAACATTACCTGAGCTTCTGAGTCATCAAGCACAAATTACTTTATTTTGAGTAATTTCTCAACATATAAAACTAAAATCTAAAATAGGCCTGAAGTTTGTTTCATCTGATTTGTACTGCTTACTTGAACAGTCAAGCTCTTGAAGACAGGCAAAACTGGGCTTTAATCCACAGTGAGAAGCAGACTGACTGTCTTCAAGTTGTGTACTAAAGTTGCTCTCATGTAAAAGGCTTTCTTGGATTAATTCCACTGATTATAAATATTCCTTTACATATTAATAGTTACTATAACTTGTATTTTAGAATTTATGTTTGTAATTCTTCTCATTGATTTATATTTTATCTCTCACAGCTAAATTGTATGCTTATTGATAATGGTAAATTGTGTGTCTAACTTTTCATATCTAAAGACATGGTTTTACATAAAGGGTTCTTAACAATTATGCTTTAATGGATGAAGACTATAAGTAAACATACCAGTCAATTCTGCTTTTCACCTCAATTTTAAATTTTTCTATTCAGGAAAAAGAAGCCTATCAAGATGATCAATTACATTATATATACATATATATAAAATTTTTGTTGCACAGTTACAAATGTAGATAAAGAACACTTGTTTTCTTTCTGCCTCTGGCTCCTACCTGTAATTTTAGGTAAGTGGTAGCTTCTTTATCTTACCATTTTCAAATTTCTATGGTATATAACAATCAATAGACTCTTTACAATTTATATTAAAATATTAGGCTGGTGCAAAAGTAATTGCGGTTTTTGCCATTAATGGTAAATACTGCAGTTACTTTTGCACCAAACTACTAATTTTAAGAAAGATTTTTAAAACTCTAGATCAAGCTAATTTCTATGTAGACCTTCATATTCCCTATGGAAGTGCTGTGGGTTAAATGTAGACAGCAAAGATTGATAGTATAATTAAAATCATGAGCACATTTTCGAACTATTAAAGACATTAGAGATCAACTAGCCTAAGCTGCTCACATTTTAGAGGTTTGAAAAATTGAGGTCCAGAAATATTAAATGACTTTTTAGGTTATAAAGTACAGTGCTGGGCCCCCAAAAACATGAACTCTCCATGCCATTTTACTGAATTTTTTCCTATTACAACTTGTATGTATTTTAAAAATTATATTGACCGAGTCACAAGTATCTTGAAGACATCAAAGTGTACATGCAGTGACCTCTGTTGAAGAGTAGAAGTCATACCCTCCCACACAGCTGATTTTTGCCTTTCTCAAAATAGTGAGATCTAAAATCTCCAAAGGGCCACTACAGGCAGGTGTTTCTCTGATCTAAATCATCCTTTCTAAAAACATTTCAAGTAAAACACGGTTGGCAAGCTCAAAGGGATATATTCACCAATAAAAGAACATTTTATTAATATCTTTTTGATATAATAAACATTTCAGCTTAGGTCTTATCATTCAATCACCTGATATTGGAGCCTGTAAACATGTGGCCAAGTGTGCAGGGGAAAAAAAAATAACTATCAGTCTTTTCAAGAGCCTAGGGAGTCACCTTTGAATAAGGCAGTGCATTTTCATGTAAAAAAATTACTTGTTTCTTTTGGATATATTCTATATGCTCTATGCCATACAAATCCTCAAAAAAATGAGACAAAGAAGCAGCCCTTCCTTGAATGAAAAAAAAAATTATTCACTGCCAAACTTATAGTATACAAGATCTAACTTTTACATCTTTCTGGTTAAATGCCTTGGTGTCCCATACTTGCCTTGGTAAAACTTTAATTTTTAAGATGTTACATAAAGCCATTTAACCACACTGGTCTTGTATTAATTAATAATAAAGTTTACATTTCTTATTGATCAGACTGGCCACATTTAAGAGCTTCACAACAAAAACAAATTATGCTTTTGAGGCCATAGGGAAACAGGTAACCTCATACACTATTAGTGGAATTGCATAGGGCTTCAATCCCTAGGAAGAATTTTGCAATACCTAAGAATACTCTATATATATTCATCCTATGACCCAAAAATCTAGTGTTTTATCCAAAAAAATATGTCCACAATAATTAAGCAACATGTGCACTTATTCATGGTAGTATTAATTGTGACCAAAAAATATTGGGAAAACCCCGAATGCCAAGCCACAGAAGACTGGTTGAACACACCACTGTACGTACACACAATGAAGTATTCTGAAGTACAAAACAATTTTCACACATTTTTATGAAAAACTTGGAGTCATTTTCAAGATATACCATTGGGTAAAAACACCAAGGTATAAAATAATATATATCATGCATGATCTTTGAGTACAAAGTATGGCTAAATATGAGTAAGTCTACATATATATGGACATAGATGCACATATTCATTTGTATATGTGCACAGATATATATAATATATAATATATATATATAAAATATATATATATACACACACATATATGTGCAACATAGAAAAATAGACATGGCAGGACAGGTCATCTCCCTTGAACAAATGACCAAACAGAGGTCTAGGGATGCTTAAGCAGTTGTCCATGTTCATTTACCTCATCTGTAATGGAGCTAGGACGACGAGAATCCCATTGACTCCTAGATAACTGTATTTCCCCAAGTACAATTTATCCTCATCCACATACAAAGAGATTAGGACTATTGATGTTAACAAGGTACTGACATAAAAGTGTTAGGAATTTGCTGTATTTCATTTAGGTAGAAGTAACTATCCTGTACCTTTATGGAAAAGTATATATATCCAAGTTGCACTTTCAGAAGATATAGTCTACAGATATCAAGGACATTCTGTACATTGGCTGGAAAACTCACAGACACTAAAAAATAGGATAAAATGTATAGCCATTTACCCTTTCAATAGATTTCTGATATTACAACAGATTATTGTCTTATACGATGACAGCCTGTATGATTGTCTTTCAAAATCTGCAACAATCTAGCTTAATTCAACCTTTCTAAGCTTCTCTTCTACTATTCTTCAGCATAAACATTGCCTTTTATTAGTCTTATCTACTCATTGTGTCTCGTAATTCTTCATTTATTTGCCATTGTTTGTGCTACTATTTTATGTCAACTGTAACCTGTATTAGTTTGTTTCTGCAGCTTCCAACAAAAGAATCTTAACTCTTACCAGCCTACCCATAAAAGCAATTTAATGCAGGATCATGGAGTATCCCTGAAAACTCAAGGCTTTCAGAAAGAAAGTGACCAGATAAGCAGAGGAAGTCTGGGTGTCTGGAAGTTCTGAAGTCTGTTTTGGGAATGCACCATGAGCTTTTGATTTACCTCCCACTCTGATGGAGGAAGGGCAGTTTACCACAGTAAAAATCTATATGCTATTATAGAAAAACAGCAAAACAGCAATTGATATTGTTCAGGTGAAAATAATATATGTCCATCTCATTGCTAATATCTCAAGATTCAACATCTCTGTGCCTTCTGTGACAATTTCTCTGGTCTTTTGAGATCACGGTTGTAGCAATACCTGTATTCCTACATTACTCATTGTCAGATAACACAGTGGAGAAAAGTTTACACTCGAATTATAAGCCTCTGCCACTTATTTTTAAGTAGCTACTTACGACTTACATCTTGCTATTTCATTGTGATCTTGCCTCTCCAATTGTGAAGATAAAGAAAAACACAAACCAGTTTGTTTAATACCAGTTACATAATGTGCCCCATATGAGCAGCTATATAACTATATTTATTCCTCACAACAATTTCATGAGATACTGTTATCACCCCTTTCTCTCAGATGAAGAAAGTGAGGCTGAGAAGGGTGACATAACTTGCCAAGATCCCATACGCTGACACGTATATGCCTACATCATTCATTTGGCATGTAATCATGTAGTATCAATCAAAAAATCACTCTAGTTCACATGATATTGTGTGTGTGTGTGTGTGTGTGTGTGTGTGTATGAGTGTGTTGGCTAAACTAGTTAAACTGTGACATCTTTCACTAGGATACCTTATATATATATTTGTATCACCCACCATACTTAGCATATAACAATATACACACCGCAAGCCCTCAAGAAATGATGTGAATTAATTATATCTGATTCACATGAGCTACAAAGTCACCACCATAACCATCATTTTGGAGTATTATTCTTACTACATAACAAAAAGCTCTGTGCTGGCCACCCCATAAGGGAGAAAATTTCCTCACTCTTAAGCTTGTTTTTCTTCTGGAGCTGCAGGTCCAGTAACACTTGTTGAGGAGTAAGTCAGGAAAAGAAACAAAACACTAAATGGGATGACACCTTCCACAACCACACTCTTGGCTTTTATGGGTATCTCTAATAACCATCAATGTAGTTATGAATTTAAACAATATTTCTAGTCTTAAGCAATATGGAAGCCACTGGAATATAAGTTTGATGAGAACTTGGACTTAAACACTAAATAATATTTAGCACATGATACATATGCAATAAATATTCACTGGATTAAGATCTCAATATATTTTCCAACTTGGAAAAATTTCTATTCCCAGTCATACAAACTCAATCATTGGTTTTAAAAAATTACCTCCTCATGTTTATGCTATGTCATAGTACTGGATGGAGCACTGCCTAGATCCTGAATATCTGGGTCCTGTTTTCTCCACTGCCGCTAATTAACTGTAATATTGGACAAGTTATTTCAGCAGTTGGCCTTTTCAGAGTCTTAATGGATGAAAAGAAAGCTCATTTCCAGCTAGAAGTCTCCAGGAACTGTCTATAAATTATTTTGAGGGACTTTACAAATCAGACACGAATACAGATGATGATCCATCTTTATTTCCATAGTATAAAGCACAGTGTCAGGAACATAGTAATACAGTTCAGTAAATGTGGGATGAAAGAATAAATGAATAAGTGGTCGGGACATACAATCATTAAATACCTTTATAATTCTAAGAATATGTAATGATATAGCCATGCAAGCAATCAAGTACATGTCTCAAAACCTATCCTTTGATGCCACTATTCATCAATCTCAAATATCGAACTACATAGGAACAATGCCTTTGTAGTTTGTTATTTGCGCAGTCAATAGAAAATACTGTTATGTTGTGGTCTTCATTCTTATGGTGATCTTGAAGAATTTAAATTGTAAGTCCCTACAATCTAGGTTTAATATCCAAATAGTTAAAGATTTGCAAAAAGAGGATACAGATATAACATAATTGAACAAATGATACAGAAAATGCCACAGCAAATAGAGGCACTAATGAAAAGTACATGTGGATTTGCATTCCAAATTATAGAGTATAGTTTCCCCACATGGCTTCTATAAAACACTAATTCTGGGATATTCTTAATTTAAAAAGTTTTATGATTAAAATCTTTGGGATATGATGCATCCTTTCAAATCTGACAGAGTCTCAAGGCATGTAAGTATATCAAAGCTTTAATAATTCTTACTTTGTTAAAACCTGTATTTCTCAAACTTGCTTGCCTATGAAAATTCAATTTTTGTAGAAAATTAAAACCTTTACAATCAGCCTTACCTAGAATTCACTTTGGGAAACACTGTTATGTCACAAGAGGCATACAGAAACAGGGTACCTCCCTGTCCATGCCCAACTGCATTAACTCCAATCAGGTTTAAACTGCAGTCTTTTTAATTGAAAAAAAAAAAAAAAAAAAGGAACCTCTGCTACTCCACTGCGTTTTCATGAACACACTGAGTACTCTCCATTGTGCCTTGATTCTGACACCCCTGTGAGACCCTACATGAAGCAGTCAGTTGATCTACATCTTCAAAACCTGGGAGCTGTCACCTTATTTGGAACCAATAACTTTTCTCTAAATGAAATGCTTTAGAAGAGACTTTGACTGTCTCTTCCAGTATGAATGCTTCTCTATGGCCTTAGTTTCTTTGATCATTGAGGGTCAAGAAATCTCAGTGCTAAAAACAAACTATAACAACTGCAAGGCTTATCATTAGCCTAACACCTCTTTCAATAATCTCACAGGCCGTAGTGAAGCTCAGACCCATTTAATCAGAGGCCATATAAGCAACATCAGAATCATGGCCAAATTTAAAATTGTAAAACAGTCTGGCTTCTATTCATTCACTGAGTAAGTATTTATGTAAAGCCTACTATTACATACTGTGAATTACACTGAGAACATTGCTAAATTCTGATGAGTCAAAGAATAATAATCCAGTTTAAGGAAACCATCCAGGAGGAGTTAAGTGGTGAGTGGGGCCACAATCAATGGAGAGATCACTTTAACGGCAAAGGCCAAGAAAGAACCCCCTGTGGGTTATCTTCCCTCCAACAAAGAGGCAACCAGAGTATTAGAAATGTTTTCAATGAGAGTTCTGGGAATGACTTAATCTAAACCTGAATACTCATTCGCAATTCAACAACAACAACAACGTGAAACTCTTTTGCTGAGCAGACCAGAAAGCTGTTTTGGAAGTCAGGACCACTCAGGGAGCTGCTCAGATGGCTGCTCTCCTGTGGCCTCATTAGCTGACTCACAAGGTACACACTGGAGCTGTGCCCTAGATTCCCACACACCAACTCTGACATTTATAAAGCACTTTCAGTCCTGACAAGATCAAAAACTCAGCATTCTTTCAAATGTCATAATAACTCCAAAATATCCCTGGCTCGAGCTGAGAAAACTGAAAGTGATAAAGCACTTATTAGATTAAAAAAAAAAAAACTAGGGAATTATGGGCTTGTCCTCTTCCCTCCTGCAGCATGAGGCATTCATTCGATTTTAATTTGATTTTAGTAACACATTTTCCCCTTAGGAAACACTCATTGCTTTACCTCCTAGACTGGACTCATTTGCAATGTCCATGGTCCTATGATGTTGGCAAATTTGCCATAAACTGGTTTCTCTGTTAAACCGTGGGCCTCCAACCAAAACCTCCTATGGTTACACTTTAATGTCAACGTAAGACATCTTGACATTGTGTTATGATGGCAGCTTTGCTCATTGCTACAGTGGGAGTGAAGAAAGATGTCAGCATGTTTACTGAAAGCATGTTCTGGGCTACAGCTTGCACAAAGATGATACTTTCTGTTCCTCAGTTTTTCAAAATATCAAACATACTGTTTTAAAAATAACAGTGATATATGTCATTGTGTACTTGAGTGTCATGCTCCATTATACCATTTTATTTACTTTTTTATTGTGTTAAAAACCTACATAGCATTAAATTTACTGTTTTATGTACACAGTTCAGTAGCGTTAAATGTATTCACATTGTTGTGCAACAGATCTTTGGAACTTTTTATTTTGCAAAGTTGAAACTCTACGCCCATCAATCAATAATTCCTTCTCCCTGCCTCAGCCCTCAGCAATCATCTTTCTACTTTCTATGATTCTGACTATTTTAGATATTTCATGTCTAAATGGAATCATGCAGTACTTTTTTGTCCTTTTGTGATTGGCTTATTTTGCTTAGCATAATGTCCTCGACGTTCATCCATATTACAACACATGTAAGAGGATGTCCTTCCTGTTTTAAAGCTGCATAATATTCCACTGTATGTCTCTACTGCATTTTGCTTATCTATTCATCTGTCGATGGACATCTGGGTTGCTTTCACGTATCAGCTATTGTGAATAAAACTACAAAGAACATAGGTGTGTGAATATGTCTTTGAGATTCTGCTTTGAATTCTTTGCGATATATACTCAGAAGTGGGATTGCTGAATCATAACATGGTAATTAAATATTTGGCTTTTTGAGGAGCCTCCATACTAGTTTGCATAATGGGTTCCAATTTCTCTTGTTGCCTGTGCTTTGGGTTTCATATTTAAGAAATCATTGCCAATTCCAATGTCCTGAACATTTTCTGCCATGTTTTCTTCTGAGAGGTTTATAGTTTTACATTTTTAATGTAGGTCTTCAATTGATTTTGAGTTAATTTTTAAATGCTATAAGGTAATGGTGACTTCATTCTTTTCCATGTGTATATCCAGTTTTCCCAGCATCATCTATCGAAGAGACTGTGCTTTCCCCTTCGTGTAGTCTTGGCACACTTGTCAAAAATTATTTGCCCATATATGCAAAGGTTCATATCCAGTCTCTCTATTCTGTTCCATTTGTCTATGTATCTGTCTTTATGCCAGTACCACAACATCTTGATTACTGCTGTTTTGCAGTATGTATTGAAGCAAGGAAGAGAAGGTCCTCTACCTCTGTTCTTTTTCTAGATTGTTTTGGCTATTCAGGGTCCCTTGAGATTTCATATATATTTTATGATGTTTTCTCTCTTTCTGCAAAAAATTCCACTGGAATTGTGATAGAGATTGGACTGAGTCCACGGATCACTTTGTGTAGTATGAGCATTTTAACAATATTAAGTCTTCCAAGCTATAAGTATGAGAAATATATTTATTTGTGTCTTTGATTTCTTCTACATCACACTATGTTAACAGGGCCTTTAGTAGATTCCTAGAACATTAAAAGTAAAAGAAAATTTGTAGGTGATATACTCCTAACCTGAGGCCCAGTGACCTAAAGTCCATGAGGCCCTAAGAGTGGACACAACTTTTTAAATATACAGCTTCTCTGGGTGGGTGGCAAGATCTACAGAATTTATTAGTTGATGAGTCATTTATTTATTCAGCAATAAAGCACCAAATACATGTCTGACACTGGAAATGCTGCAGCAAAATTGAGAGAAAAGCCTGCCTCCGTGAAGTTTATAGATTTTTGGTGAGTGAATGATCTATAAACACTCAAAATTATTGCTAATCTAATGCCATTATTTTAAAAAGGAAGGAATCAAGGCAAGAAGAAGTAGTTTGCCAAAGCAGAGAAAGCCAAAAGATGGAAGTCTGACTTGGAGTAGGGAGTCTCCAAACGCCTATCTCAGTGTCCCTTTTTCCTTCTTCTGTACTGCTTCTACTACCATTACTAACAATGGAGTTTGAGGTTGGTGAGACAGCAACCTGCCTTTTAAGTCCCATTTCCTGAGAGGCAAGTATGTGTAGGGCACTATGTAAAGGGCCTTGCATGCCTGATTGAATTTATTATTTCCCAATTCTGTGAAGAAGACATTATTTTTGTTCTTTAGTTGAAAATTGTCAGATGCCTGATTTGGGGCCAATAGCCAAAGCAAATAAGTCAATGACCTCTTTGGGCATCAACTTGCTGCTGTTATGTAGAAGTGATTAGACTAGCTGAGGAAAAGCAAGATAGCTTTATTTGAACTCTTGATTCACTGAAATGGCTCTAAAGCTAAGTGTTGAGAAATCTTTAAAGACCATGTACAGACTCTACAGGCAGAAGGTTCAGATTCATGATGTTTTCTTCACTGAGGTGCGAAGGTATGTGTGTAGGTGTGTGTATCTACATGTGTTTAGGGCTAGAGTTTTGCATATATGACCTTATTTCTTCATGTCGAATAGATAATTATTCAAATACCATTGAGCTGGGTGTGTTGGCATGCACCTATATCCCAGCTACTTGGGAGGCTAAGGTGAGTGGATCACTTTAGCCCATGAGTTTGAATCCAACCAAGGCAACATAGCAAGATTCCATTTCTAAAATCAAATAATAATAATAATAAAATAAAAACCACCATTGGCTGGAAAGTCCTGACTCTAAACACATCTATTATACTAAATGTGTCTCAAGTCCCTGAAATTTGAAGCACAGGAGACAACTCTGCCACACTTCAAATAAAGAAGGATGTTGTGAGAGATTTCCTGGCACTGTCCATATCAATCCAAGTAAGAAATTCTGTAGCATTCAATTTAATAACCAACTAAGGGAAAAACTATTCTTTCACATGGAGGACCATGGTCCACACAGAGCCATTTTTAAGAGTGCTAGAGTAAAGGGCAAAGAGTGAGGATGTTGAAGTCAGGCTAAATACAAATCCCAGTCCAACTACTCGCTCACTAAGTTACCAACCACTCTATGCCTCAGATTCCTTCTCTACACAGCAGGGACTATAACAGTGCCTATTTCATAAGACTATTGGGATAATTAAGTGAATTAATAAAGGCAGAGTACCTAGCATGGTGTCTCTCAATCCAAGTGCTCGGTAAATTATTATTACTAAATGAAAGGAAAACACATTATTTTTATTTCCTATGTGAACATAACAATCATCGATACAGCATATTTGCAAGGCCAAGTTTTTACTTGGACTTGCTCCAAGAACTCCTAGACTTCTTATCTAGGTCTGCACCTGCCCTTACTGGAAAAGATCTTTTTTTAATGTCTCCTTTGTTTCTTCTAGACATACATAGTGTCCTAAGAAAGATAGAAAGAATAAACACAGTTCAGAGGCAGAAAAGAACAGATAGATGGCTCAACATTAGAAATATCTAACTGAATTTTAAAGTTCGCACTATATTTACAAAGGGAATAAGATGAAGAGGAGCAGAGAGGAACTTAGAAATGTTAGGAGGCTAAGAAGTGAGAGCCAACATATTTGGGGTTAGAAAACAGGATAACCCCGGCTTCCTCCCTCCTCTATGCTAATTACGTAAGTAGGTGAGGGGATACGTATGTTAATAAGCATAGTTTAATCATTCCATATGTACATAAATATCAAAACATCACATTGTACCCCATAAATATATACCATTATTTGTCAATTAAAACATATTTTTAATTGACAATAGGAAAAGGTAATAAATAGGACAAAATAATGAATCAAAGAGAAAGAATTTGGGAGAGATAAAAATCAGCATGCCCAAGTAAATAGGCAAAAAAATCACATGTAATTAAGATTTGTAAGCAAGAGAACAAATATAAGCCACAATTTCTGATGACTCTTGGCTTATTAATTGAACAATATGGTGCTTCATCCTCTTGCTTGGCTGTTAATTATTTTCTACTCTCCCTTTGTTATTAATCACTTTTACTTCTCTGGCTCTCTTTCAACCCTAATACTGTGAGCTATAAAGGCCAAGCTGTTTAGCCAAAAAAAAAAAAAAAGGAAAACTATTCAATTCTAAAGAGTTAATGGAGATTTAATATGTGGGAAGGAGGAGTAATTCAACATATGCTTTTTAAAAAATTAACCAAGAGAGTCCTATGAATTAGGTGAGAAATATTTTAAATTATTTATATGTGTTTCAAACTAATCCGTGAGGGCTGGGAAATGCATGTCCTCATTCACTGCAAGTGGCAGTGTCAACGGAACATTATTCATGCAGGGCAATATAGCAGTGTACATCAAAAGGCTAAAAAAAGGGTTCTATACTCTTTGACCCCTCCATGGCACTTTTATGGCAAATTTTCTAAGGGAATCATTAAGAATATATGCGAAGATTTATTTACAGTAAAGTTTCAAATGCTTTATTTTTATATTGGACAATTAAAAACAACATAAATATCTGACAATAGGAGATTGTTTAAATAAGCAATGGCCATTAAGAAGCATTTACTGGGAGAGTGATTAACAGTATAAAGATGTTCATAATATTAATAAACTAAGTGCAAAGGCAGATTATGGAGAACTGCATAGTCCATATGTCATTTTAATTTTTAAAATTGTGGAAAGCTCCTTCTTTGATAAATGTAAAGTGTATGGATGCGTTAAGTACAAGAAACAATTCTGGCCATAGTTTAGTGTGCTAAGGCAGGTTTTATTTCCAAAGAACTAAAATATGTGTTGGATTCCTAATTATATATAATATTTTAAGACACAATCTTTAATAATATATTTCTAGAATTTAGTATACATTATTTATGTTTGCTCTTTTCTCTCATTATATAACACAAGTGCTGGGTGGCTTAAGGCCAAATATCCACTAGTGTTGAAAGACAAAGACACATCTCCAACTTTATTGATCTCCAAACTTCCTTTCCAAATTATATTAAAGTCATGACCAATATGGTCAATCATTAGTAGCAAAACTTTTGTCTTTTTTTTCCTTCATTTTTATAAAAGGCAGACCAAATATCTTTAACATTAAACACCTGCACAAATTCTGATGTGCAAAGATTGTGATACTGACTAGGTTAATCAGTTGGCTGGCAAACAGCATGATAATACTATGGTCTGAAATGTCTATTCTCCAGCTGATATGTAAGGCTGCATTTGGTATGTTAAAGGTAGTTTGGGGTCTTATGGGTAATGTTCAAGTACAAGATGAAAATTGAATAACAAAGTCAAGAATCCTCCCTTTATATGGGCATACTAGCCAGGGTCCTTCAATTATTTTAACAGATGGAATTTAATATAGAGAAGTGGATCAAGAGCTATATAACTGCACAGGCCAAGGGGAACATTGAGACATCACAGAGGTAGTGACCCAATATAGTGGCTACAGCTCCTAGGTCTGGGAAAATAAAGGGATGAAGTTGGAATTATCAGAACTAAGAATCTCCAAGGAAGCCCCAAGGGATCTGGGATCTAGACTTTAGAAAAGGGGCCCTCCTTGGATGATGCTGGTGCCTTCAGAGGTTGGGTGAGGTCCTGCCAAGCTGAAACCTGCAGCTCTCAGGAGCGGGTGGCATGAGTTTCATTCTGGGAGTATGGGAATAAGATGGAAAGTGACACCAATAGATACGGGAATCAACTGCTGCCTCTGGTGGTAGGGCCCTTGATGAGCTACAGTTGATAGGCTAATAAGCAAAGACAAAATAGTAATTCCCTTTGCTAGCCTGCCATCTTTCAGTTTTGCTCTTGCTTGCCCAGTAGGCAGGACCTATCAGGGAACCACAAACAGACTAGGAGATGGTTTGCCCAATCCCAGCCACAGCATCATAAAGCAAGGTACGGAAGAGCAGGTTTAGGTTTGGAGTGACAACAGCCTAACAAAAACCCTGTATGTATCCATACGCATAGAAAAAAATCAAAAAGCATGTACATTAACATGTTAATAGTGGATATTACTGGATAGTGAGGGATGATTTGAATGATTTAATTCTCCTGGCACTTTCCTGCATTTTCCAATTCTCCATTCACAAAAAATAACTCATCACAATTTTCTAACATTATACAAAAAAGTTGACTTCTGAGTAAGAGAATGTTAAATGATATCATCTAACATTTAGATGTGAAAACCTGTGGTATATTTGAAGGAATTTTTAGAATAAAAATTTCTCATTTACACTAATTTCTCTAATGGCATCAAGAATAAAATGCAAACCCACGTTTACCCAGCTAAACAATGATTAATGCGAAGCATATGGAAGCACACTGTAAGACTAATAAATAGTCTTCTCTCTTTGAACACAGTAATGGTTTTGTGAAATAGGCTAGCACAGGGTTTAAATGAGGTTACTGGATCAAACCAGATATTAATCAACTAGTTAATAATTTTGACAACACCATTTACAATGGAAACAGAGTAAAATCATTGTTAGAGAAATAAATACATCCTAAAGAACATAAAGATTTGACAATAATGGATATTTTCTTAGTCTGTTTCTGTGATTTATTTCTGTGTTCCCCATAACTTGATGACTATATTCATCACCATAATCATCATCATCATCACCAATGCCACAGCTATTATTGACTGAGCCTTATTATACTATGTGTTCAATATGTATTATATACATACCTGGCTTTATTGTTCACCATAATCCTATAGTTCTTATGTTATAATTCCTATTTTTGCTATTAGGAAACTGAGCCATAAAAGGTTCAACTATTTTCCCCAAGATCATACAAACAGTAAAAGCAGAACCAGAACTCTACAGGAACTTCAATTCTTCAGGGTTTTATATTATTATATTACAGTACTATATCATATTATCCATCAATTTAAGGTATTATATTACTTGTCAATTATATTATAATATTAATTACCTTAAGGTATTATATTAATCAATTCAAATTCTAATTATTGGTTTTGTTATTCTGTTACTTAATCTGTAGCTTATCTATGCAAAATACCTTAAATTCCTAAAATAGAATATAACACAATTGACTGTTTTTCTCTCCACCTAATGTATATCATTTAAATTATAACATGCCTGGTAATTTCTCAACAATAATAAAAGTAGCAGAGTTTCACATATTAAATATACCTTTTTACACAGTATTTTTTCCTTTCTTTTTTCTTTTTCTTTTTTGGAGACAGGGTCTTGCTCTGTCGCTCAGGCTGATGAGCAATGGAGCAATCTCTGCTCAGTGCAACCTCTACCTCCCAGGCCCAAGAGATCCTCCCACCTCAGCCTCTCACTTACCTGGGGCTACAAGTGTATACCACCATGCCCAGCTAATTTTTGTATTTTTTGTGGTAGAGATGGGGTTTTGCCATGTTGCCCAGGCTGGCCCTGAACTTATGGGCTCAAGTGATCTTCCCACCTCATCATCCCAAAGTGCTGGGATTACAGGCATGAGCCACAGCACCCAACCTTTTTACACAGTATTAAATGCCCAAATAATTTACTTCTAATGACAGAGTTTATTTAAAAATTTAAATTTTAAAATGCTCAGAGGAAGGTCTGTCTTTATTATGTATGACATCACCTGCAATTGAAAGTATCTCTGGTCTTTTAACTTTTTGATAGAAGTGGTTTCTTGAGGCTGCAGGCCAGGACTTGGATGTCAACAACATGAGTGTTGCCATTCATGCAGCCATCAGAATCAACCTCTGAACTCATTTCCATGGAACCTGTTTGCGAACTTGAAAATCTACGCACATGCATAAGGCTCCAGAAAAGCATTCTTGATGAATCAGAATAGGTACAGAGGAAGAAATTTTTTAGTTGTTCAAATCAAAGACTGAAGTTCCATCTCTCTGAGTGGGTGGCTAGATCTCCACTGACAGGAGCAGACATTCTGGTATTGGCCTTTCGGTCAAAGGAGAATCCTGTAACAAGACGTGGAAGCTAGGCCTCACACTGTTCATCCAGGGCACACCATGCTCTCTCACCTAGCTGTCCTCTAATGAGTCTGGCCCGTAAGGAGGGTAGACATGTTAGGACATATCAGCTGTGCAGAAGGAATGTGCTTTCTGCCACACAGAGGCCAGGAGAAATGCAAGCATCTTTTGGAGGTTACTAAACTGAAGATACATAAACTAGCTTGTGAGCTACATTATCCATTATCTCAAAATAAGAAAGAAACTTGCACAAAAGAATGAAGTCTAGTTTAATTGTTCAAATATAGACTTGGCTACACCACAGGGCAAGCAGGGAAAAAGCACGCGTTCCTGTATGGCTGGAAATCAAGAGGAGAGTAAGCAGGGTCGGAACAACAGTGACTTGAGAAAGTCTTAGATAAAGAATCTGGAAGCACAGGAGTCCAGCTGCTCTTCTTCAGAACCATGTTTGAAGAATTAGCCTTTGACTACATGAAGAAAACCAGTTGATTGTGTTGATTAGCTTGTGTTAGACAGTGATCAGCAAACTACTGCCTGACAGCTAAAAATGATCTTCACAATTTTAAGTGGTTAAAAACAATTAAAATAATATTTCGTGACATGTAGAAGTTAGATGAAATTAAAATTTCGGTGTCCATGAATCACATTTTATTGGAACACAGCCAGACTCATTAGTTTACATATGGTCTACTGTTGCTTTTACAATGACAGAGTAGTTGCTACACAGACCACATGGCCACAAAGTCTAAAATATATACACCTGGCTTCTTACAGAAGTTCATCCACTCCTGTGTTAACAGAACCAGCAGAATGCCTTTGTAGGTGTGTGCCTATTATTTTTTCTTTAGATTTTTTTTATTGACACATAATATTTGTACATATTTATGGGGTACATGTGATATTTTGTTACATGCATAGAATGTGTAATAATCAAGTCAGGGTACCTAGGGCAACCATCACCATCACCCTGAGAATTTATCATTTCTTTGTATTGTAGAACAAATAAAGTTCTCTCTTCTAGCTATTTTGAAATACATAATACGCTGTTAACTAGTCACCCTACTCTACTGTCAAACGTTAGAACTTATTCCTTCAATCTGTGTTTGCATCCATTAACTTACCTCTCTTCATTCCCCTCCTGTACCCCCATACACTTCCCAGCCTTTGGTATCTATCATTCTACTCTCTATCACCATGAGATCAACTTTTTTAGCTCTCACATATGAGTGAGAACACATGATATTTGTCTTTCTGTACCTGGCATATTTCACTTAACATAATAATTACCAGTTCTACTGAACAAAGAAAATGTTTTGTATATATATACTGGAATACTATTTTGTGTGTGTCCATTATTGGAATTTTCTGATTAATTAAGCACGCTAAAATGTCACTGATAAATCACTTCCAGGACATCTACTAAGTATCTAAATGCATCACTATCATAAGATTATAAGATGACTCCTTTTGGAAGAAACAGCCCCAAATATAGACCGTCACGATGTCTCCTAATTTTCCCTTTCTTACAGACCAGTAATCTCTGGGAAAAGAGGAAAAATGGAGATGACTATTGTCTTTTTCTCCTTGGATCATTCCAAAGTTTCTTCTCATTCGATAATTTATATAACCTGACAACTTCCTCAATCATCATGATTCATTTTGGAATGCATTAAAGCATAAGGTTTTGTTTTTGTTTTTGTTTTTGCTTTTCAACAGTTTTCTGAAGAAGAGAGACAGATGAAACCTAACTAGGGAATCCCAAACCTCTCTAGTGGCTGCTGATTACCTGCCAAGCACTCCTGCAGCTGAACTGTGAAAATGATTGGCTGGTTCCCACTGAGCCCCAAGACCCATTGGTTGCATCCCACTGAGCTGTGATCCAGATTGACAGCTTGAATGTCTCTCTCTTTGAGCTTTATCTGTGACTTCTTGCCTTTAGCAGTGCACCTGTATAGCCACTAAGCTCAGAAACAAAAGAGACACGACCCACATCTCAAAGTTTTGTTTCCCTTGTACTCTCTTAAGGAAATAAGTAGTAGGGGGAAGGAAACCCTAGCAACAAAGAAAGAACTAGACATGCAAAACAAATTATTGGGTGTATGCAATTAACATCCTACAAACCTGGAGGCTTATGCTCAATCCAACAACATACCTAACATTCTGAACATAACTTAGAGTCATCCTAGAAACTGCAGAGATGTCACATAATGAATGAACAGATTGACACTCCTTTTAATGCGTCTACCTTTTTTGAGTCTGATATCAATAAATCCATCCTTTGGTGATCAATCACCTGTAAGTTAACTAATAAAAATCTAGCATCTTGATTCGAGGAACTGGAATTATACTTTGATGTCTTCAAGATTCCAACTTTGGAATCTTCAATTAAGTTGTATGATTATCTCCTTTTCTCATCTCTGTAAGGTGTAACTCTAATTATTATACTAGGAACCGGGTAATGCTGAGTTATCATCCTGGATATCATGTACTCTGTAAAACCAAGAGTTTTACACCACTTCGTTCCCATCTATTACACTGGAATAAATTTCAGTATAATGGCCTGATATTAGCTCCAATCCATTACATTGAAATAAATTCCCCTTTTGACATGTTTGCCTAATTCATAGATTATGAATATCAATGAACTTTTATTTTGTACATGCTATTTACATGGAAAATATACAAATCATATATATTTAAAGTGGTATTATTTCTAGAAAATTTTCTCAGAAGCTAATTTTATAAGACTTTAAATTCTAAAGAAGTTAATAGCAGGTAACTACTCCCGATGAATTTTAGATGGTGCAGAAGAAAATTCTTAGAGCTGGCATGGGTCCTTCTTTAAAATAGGGTACTTTGAAGTGGAAACTACCACCTTTTTCCTGCTCTGGCTTTATTCCTATTAAAAGGTACATGTTACCTCTAATATAATATACAACTTACTTAGTAATTACGATTATTATTTTTTGTCTCCTCTGTTAAAATATAATCTCCACAAGAGTAGATATTTTTGTCCATTTTATTCACTAATGTATGCCAAGCACCTGGAATTATGCCAGGTACACAGCAGGAATAATAGCAGATATTATTGATTTGGAGAAGTTTTCATTTACCCTAAGTAGATGTCAATAAATTACATAGGGCAAAACTTAAAAACCCCTCTTTGTTCTTCATGCAAGCCCCTTATTATTATATTTCCTTCCAAACAAGTTAACAACTATTAGCAGTTTGATAGACTTTCTTCCGGGCAGATCCTTTTTTGGTGGTGGGGAATCTATCTGAAATACATGGTAGATGGGTCACTAGTTTTTGAATTATTTAGCAAATATTTAGTAAGCACCAGCTAGGTCCCAAGCACACTTTAGATGATTTTCTTGATAATGGCATTCTTTCTGGCTGAGCCTGAGTATGGACTTATAGTTTGCTACTACTAATGGAGCAGATTTACATTATAAGAAAAAACTTCCCAGATCCATGTGACCATTTAGATAGGCTAACTGAACTAGTCAGCCCATGCAATGCTGTACACACCCAATTCCACTCTAGGTAACAGAATGCAATGAAATGCCCATATGTAGGTCTTTCAGAAACATTAAATAGGAAGCCAACCAGAGATAGGTTTATCCAGATTGCAGATCTGGCTCTAATTTGTCAACATCTTTCAAGGGAAACCTATTTGCTACCCAATGAATAGCCACCAAATAAATGAGAACATGGTGTCCTCTAATGCTTTTCTCCAGTGCTCCCAACCTCAGAATCAGCAGTCTTTAATTGTCACTCATTTACTTAATATAGTGTTCAAAAAAAATTCCTGTCACAAGGCGCTTTAATACGCCCTGTTCTCAATGATATGTTCTTCTGTTTGTACATCAGCAACAGCACAAAATACAATCTAACAGACTTTGAAAGTTCAATGCTTTACGTCTTTTTTTGGCCTCATTTATTTTCCGGATTTATTCTTGTCCTTTCATGCCCTTAGCCTCCTCCACTTTCTGTCTTTAAATATCTAATTGCCATGTGTTCTGATGGACAAGCCTTTGGCCGAGGTCCCCTGTTTTTAGTAATAGAGGCTCTCTCCCTTTATCGCTTTTTACAAAAGAGATTATCTTAATTAAATGATCTTTATACTCATAATTTCCTAACTCTCATTTCATATCTGCTTTGTTACATGATCACTAAGGTCCCCTTCCAGTTCTAAAATTCCATGACATTTGTGCAGGACAAATACTAAGGAGATCATAGAATTTATCTGTTTTCACTAATTTTTTTTAGCATTACAGTTGGCTTTTTCATTTCAGTGACATTTTACCATCAATTTGCCTTTAGATTTTCCTCACAGAATCATTTTCAACCCCCAGAGGTTTTCAGCCTCCAAAAAAACAGAACATCTGTGTCACTAGCACGTACTCTTCATAGCTGCATTAATGGCAGGTGCCAGAAGAGGTAACATGTTAGGTTTGTTGGATGTTAAAGGAGGCAAAGAGAAGGAAATTATAACCCTCTTCTTCCTGGCTGAACCCATGGTGGTGGAGAGTCAAGCGAAAGCTTCCCCTGGCCCTCTGAAGATTCACTGAAAAATCAACTCCTAAAAGTCAGATTAACTGGAGAAAAGGCACACAAATTTATGTAATGTGTACACTGGGAAAACCACAGAGTGATTACCCACTCTACAACAGGGTGCAGAAGCTTATACACCATCCTAGCAAAACAGGTTATAGGGTTGGGGAGAAGAGGAATTCTGTTGAGGGAATTACTAGGGAGAATGAATGGATCAGAGATTAATTTGTATATTAATTTGTAAAAGGGTCTGTTCAGATGTGGTTACGCTCTCGGTCTTAGAAGGAGGCGAAAATAGAACTGTTTTCTTTGGTGGGTCTGGATCTTGGGCAGATAAAGGAACTTCAACTTCATCTTGTGCATGTAGAGAGGGATTGTGTGTATGTGTGTCGGGGGGGGCGGTTGGGGTGGTCAGAGAGACACTGAGGCTTCTTCAGCATGTCAAAGTGCCATATTTTGTAGATATTTGTCTTTGAACCCCAACAGTAGACACTACCAATGGCCCATGTAACATGCTTCCTGCTGAGGAAGGAAAGGCTCTCAGAAGCCTTTTGCAACACAGGAAACTCCAGGTCACCACTACTGCTATATTTGAGTAGGTCCTGGAGATTATTCTCTTAGAACTAGCCTGAGACCTCCTTTAAAACAAAGCATCTCGAGTATTAGCCACTACCTTTATCCTGCTCTACTTTTATTTTTCTCACAGTATTTATCACCTTTTAACTAATGTATAATTTACTTTGTTATTAGGTTTATTATTTTTTGACTGTCCCTCTAAAATATGAGCTCCACAAGGGCAGGATCATTGTCAGTTGTTTTTAATGATGTATGCCAAGCACCTGGAATAACGCCAGGCACACAGCTGGTGCTCAGGAAATATGTCTAATGAGTAAAAGAATGAATGAGTTTCTTCCTCCACCAGCATCAGAATCTCAAAGCTCAGACCAGGGCAAGGCTAATAAGGCATCTGGGGCATAAAATGTAAGGAAACACTTACTCTTAGGCCCCCCTGCACTAGCATGACCCCGAACATGACAGCCTCCTTGAATTCTGCACCCTAGGCACCTCACTGCCTCACCCTAATCTTAGCTTTTAGAATCCTCACTGTTAAGAACACATATTTCTCACCATACCTTGTACCTCCTGGATCACAATCACTAGGAGGAGAGAGCAGCCTGGGAATTCCATTTCTAATGAGCTTCTTTGTCAGTCTTACACAGAATTTTGTTGGAAAATCACTGATTTAAATTAAGCAGTTTTGCCAAGATGAATTTTCATTACATCATCTCTGGCCAGTTCCATCCTCATCTCATTCAAGGTCTTTCCCACCCTTTCTCCCTTAGCTTAGCTTTCCCCTCTTCTCCCTAACAAAGTTATAACAGCAGCTAACAGTGTTTTCTAAGCCCCAGACACTGTTGTAAGCACCTTACCATTTATAACACACCTAATCCTCATACATCATGCCACAGGTACTATCAGTATTCGTGTTTACATATGAGGAAACTGTGGCAGAGAAAGGTTAAGGAATTCACCCAAGGTCACACAGCTAGTAAGGTCAGACTCAAGATTCAAATCCAGAAGCCTCTAGAGGGCTAGAGACTATATGTCTATTCAGAATGCTTTTAACATTCTAGCCAAAAGAAAACTGTTTTCCTGCACATCCTAGATCCTCTCAAATGGCTTGCCTTTGTTCAGCAATTCTCTTTACTGAGAAAGCCTTTTTGGTCCCTCCTCCATCAAAAAACCTGCTATTAAAATCATATCCATTTCCCATTATCCTATTGAAATCATATTCATTCCCCATTATCCAAGCAGAACTCCATGCCCTCCATGAAGCCATCTTCAGTCACCCTAGAATGAAGGATCTTTTTCCTCTCTGCTGTGGTCATTTAACTTGGTTTATGATTATCTCTATTATCCTGTTTATACTGGGTTTTGTTGTAGAACTAATCTAGTAAGATTAAATATTTTGAAATACTCACCCTTTTACCCATTGCCCCTTTCCCTCATTAAAGTACTGACGATGCCCTTCTATGTTCATTGCTTCTAGAGGGTAGAAAAAAAACATGAAAAGAAAAAAAGAGGTACATTCTTGACTTTTGAGTTTCCAAAACTTAGTACATTCTCCTAGGAGAGAACAAATATTACTCATGAGTAAAGGCCATTGACTTGGGAAAACTTTGGATGAGTAAAAGGCAGAGCTATCTGGCTGACTCCCATACTTCACATAGCAAATTGGATAAAAATTCCTTATTGGGAGGAAAAGTAAAGGGGAGGCAAGGAGTGAACAGAGATTTCAGGGTCTTGAAGAAAAGGGAGCCTTAAAACAAGTTCAGATGTGACAAGTTCAGATTAGCTTGGAGACACAGGACAGCAGAGAATATCAATTCCAGGCTAGAGCCCAAGAAAGCAGCATAACTCCAGGAAAAACTCATAGTTGCATATAGTCGTGTATGTAAGCAGAGAGAGCATTAAGCAGCTAAGCAGAGAATGCCTCAGGAGCAATACAATCACCTATTTGCCCAAAAGTAGCATAAAACCAGATAAAGTCTTAGGAGTGCCATAGATGCTTTCTTTAGCTAATATTTGAGGAGGAGAATGATCTCATGTGTCCTAAAGTGGTTTTAGAAGATATGAGAGAAAGCTGTACTTGAACGGTAGGGATGAAGGATGATTTGGCGGTATCTTCAAAGGACAACAGACCATATGGCAACAACAGTATCATAGCAGATATCAACATAGATTACAACCAGTCCATCTTCACCCCCAACTACCCACCAGTCACAACCTCAATATGTTAGAACTCAATATAGAAGTCACCCCATGTTTATATTAATATGTTACCTTCACTTTGCACCAGAATGTTTCTCTTGATTATAATCCACTCCTTAGTTCAGGTCCTGGTATAAGAGGGGTTCAACAGGTTTTTGTAAATTAATAAATTAGAGGAAATCTCACAAAGTTGGAAATAGGTATTTTTTTTTTTGCCAGGAAAGTCTTCTAATGACACTAGTAAACATTAAAGTGGCCAATTAGAATAATTTAATACAGGATGCTTCTACCATATTTCGTTATTCCGATCACAGATCTTTGGTGCAGATCAAAAGTACCCCAAGTCCTGAAGAGTTCTGAAACAGAGCAATTATGAACACAGTAAAGAAAGCATATGGGAGACATGGCCCTCTCTCTCTCTCTCTCTCTCTCTCTCTCTCTCTCTATATATATATATATATACACACACACATATATATGGCCATATTTATAAGTTTGTAAAAATCACAGCCCACTGTTTTTAAAAGTCTCACAACAGAAGTGACATTTGTTGAGGTCCCACAGGGGAGGGTTTTTGTGAAAAGTGTTAAAAATAAATCACGCTGTTTCTGGCAAGGTTTCCTTGGGGAAAGTCAGATGCCAGATTATCCTTAACTTCAAGTTAATTTGTACATATCAGACAACTAACTGTAGTCTTTCATTTCTTATCAAGGGAAAAAGATGTTAATCAATTCATAGTTGAAAAAAGGAGGGGGATACAGAGGATTAAAAAAATTAAAAGAGGCCAGGCGCGGTGGCTCACATCTGTAATCCCAGCACTTTGGGAGGCCAAGGCGGGCGGATCACAAGGTCAGGAGATCGAGACCATCCTGGCTAACGTGGTGAAACCCCGTCTCTGCTAAAAATACAAAAAATTTGCCGGGCATGGTGGCGGGCGCCTGTAGTCCCAGCTACTCGGGAGGCTGAGACAGGAGAATGGTGTGAACCCGGGAGGCGGAGCTTACAGTGAGCCGAGATTGTGCCACTGCACTCCAGCCTGGGCAACAGAGCAAGACTCTGTCTCAAAAAAAAAAAAAAAAAAAAGAAAATTAAAGGAAGGAGAAACGCATGCAGTATAACAAAGCCAGTCATTTTACTGCCTGACCATCACCACTGAAGGAACATTTAGAACCAAAACACAAACATTTCAATTATTTTTAGAATTCAAATAACTCAGAGACTGACTTAAAAGGAAAGAAATGTAAAAAGTGAGCATCCATAAGGAATCATTGTTCCTTGAATGGTGTTTTGAAGGCTCATAATGGGGCACAGGAATATTGCATATTGGAATAGTCACCTTAAACCCAGTCTACTTTGTGAGATTATTGTTTTTATAATTTGCTGCTCCAGATAAATAATATACAAGACCCAATCTCAGCTTCAGGGCAACAGCAGGCAGCACTGGGTTATTTAGTTATATTTGATATAACTGGCTCCTCTTGGGCTGGTGGTCCTCACTATTTCACCTGTGCCCTTATCTTGGCATGGTCCTTGTCTTCTGCTGAGAGGCAAAATGAATGAACTCTTGCTCCATCAAACTAGCAGAGCAGGAGGGAATAAGGAGGTGGTGGTAGGGTGACCTTTGGAACCACTGATATTCTTTATGTTTGTATTAAATCAATTGTATTGAATCAATTGTGCCTCATTAAGAAATACACTCCTTACTTTAGGTGTTTTAAGAAGTCTCATAAATATAAGACAGGACAAGGAAGAAGCAATCAATAAACATATGAGGGCATATTGCAATATCAGGAGTTTGAGAGGGCACAGATTGGGGTAGCATCTTATTTAAATTATTTTTTAAAATATTTTATCCAAGTACTATTTGCATATATTTAACAATCCAAAAGCTAATAAAAAGGCTTACAATGAAAAAAAAAAAAAACTGGCTGCTTGTCAGCCTTCCTCATATCCCCACTTCACAGGATAACATTTTCAGTTCTTTTAGTTGTGGCTTCTAGGACAGATGGTCACCATCTTATGATGGTTCAACAGGATTTTTTGACTTTCTAATGGTGTGAAAGCGTTAGGCATTCAGCAGAAACCGTACTTCCAGTACCCATACTATCATGTTTTTCACTTTCAGTATAGTATTCAATGAATTATTTGAGATATTCAACACTTTATTATAAAACAGGCTTTACGTTAGATGATTTTGGCCCATCTGTAGACTACTGTAAGTGTTCTGAGGATGTTTACAGTAGGCTAGGCTAAACTATGATGTTTGGTAGGTTAGGAATATTAAATACATTTCAACTTACAATATTTTCAGCTGATGATGTGTTTGTCAAAATGTAACCCTACTGAAAGCTGAGGTACATCTGTATTTGCTGTTGTGTTTCCAATTAACATGATTATATTACTGCTCTTGATTTTTCATAGTTAGCTATCATCCACTGACTTGCTACTATAGAAGATGAGGATTGAACTCTTGTATTACCAGCCACTCTGCCACCCCCACTTACTTTCTCTCCCCTTCCTCTTGATAGAGTTCCATCACATTTTTAATTAAATTTGTAGCCATATGTGGCCTTTAAGACAATTATTATGGATGAGGTGCTGTGGCTCACGCCTGTAATCTCAGCAGTTTGGGAGCCAAGGTGGGCAGATCACTTGAGGCCAGGAGTTTGAGACCACCCTGGCCAATACAGTGAAACCTCGTCTCTACTAAAAATACAAAAATTAGGCAGGTATAGTGGTGCATGCCTGTAATCCTAGCTACTTGGGAGGCTGAGGCACGAGTATCACTTTAACCCTGGAGGTGAAGGCTGCAGTAAACTGAGATCGTACCACTGCAATCCAGCCTGGGTGACAAAGCAAGACTCTGTCTCAAAAAAGATAATATTAGTAATAATAGTTATTATTGTATTATTATGACTAGGTAAATATTGTTCATTACTAGGCCAAGTGGGGTACTGTGATTTCAATCTCATCCTATTTTCAACTTTTTGCTTTTCTTGAAACTATTTGCCTCTTTAATTCTTCAAATGTTTGGCTCCTTTGAAATCTACCTAAGTCTTTTCAGACACTCCATTTTTCCACCTCTAGGACAATGGTCTTAGCTGGGACAGCTGGGGTAACATGACTCTGCTCCACATATCTTTCTCCAGCACCACACCCAGCCAATTTTTGTAATTTTAGTAGAGATGGGATTTCACTGTGTTGGCCAGGCTGGTCTTGAACTCCTGGCCTCAAGTGATCCACCCACCTCGGCCTCCCAATGTGCTAGGATTACAGGCATGAGCCACCATGCCTGGCCTATAATAATTACTTTAAAGGCCACATATGGTTACAGATTTCATTAAAAATGTGATAAAACTCAAGAGCAGGAGGAAGAGGAAGGTGTATCCTCACAGTGATGGCCGAGAGAGAAAAAGGTAAAAGTGAAAATGTACAAGTGTTCTTGCATCCTCTGCATATGTTACATTTGCTAACACCTCACTGGCTAGGCAAATCACATGGCCAAACTCAGAATCAAAAGAAAGAGACTCTGACCCTTTAGTGGGAGAAACTGCAAAGTCACAATGTAAATGGGCACTGACACAAAAAGGGATGAAGAATTGAGACCATAACTTAATAATTCTACCAGTCATTAACCAGGTGACCATATATGAATGGATGAGTTTCAGGATTCCCTAGCTTGTTCTTTTTATTTTTTTTGACACAGAGCCTCACTCTATCACCCAGGCTGGAGTGCAGCTGCACGATCTCAGCTCACTGCAACCGCCACCTCCCCATACTGGGCTCAAGTGATCTTCCCACCTCAGCCTCCCGAGTAGCTGGGACTACAGGCCTGTGCCATCATGCCTGGATAATTTTTGGATTTTTTGTAGAGATGGGGTTTCACCACATCACCAAGGCTTTTCTCATACTCCTGGACTCAAGTGATCCACCCACCTTGGCCTCCCAAGTGTTGGGATTACAGACATGAGTCACCATGCCCAGCCCAGCTTATTTTCTGTTCTGCTCCTAAGCTAGCCAATACTCTAATCTTAATTGCTATAGCTTTATAAAAGGTCTTGATATCTTACAATGTTAAGTCTTCCAGATTTGTTTTTTTCTTCATGACTGCCTTGACTATTCCTGGCTCTGCATTTCCATATAAATTTTAGAATCAGTGTGTCAATTTCCACAAACGTATCTGTTGGGATTTTAGTTAGGACTGCATTGAATCTGACAATGTTAACTTTACCTAAAGCCCTGTGCTCCTAGAAAATAGCAAAGGTCAAGAAATCTCCTCCATCCCTTGAGTTCCAGGAAATTGCTTAGTGCAAAGAACAAGCCTCTCGCATATGATTTAGAGAAGACTCCCAGATGCCTTCCTTGTTTACATATGACATGCTCAGTCACAGATCCTCCAAATTCCCATTCTTTGCCTCATAAATGATTAGCTAAACTCTTAGTACTTAGTGATTAATCTGGATGAAATATCTGCTAACTGGATTTAACTAAACTTGAGTCTGGCTTCTTTCCTTCCTCCAGCCTCCTAACCATTGACTTGCTGTAATGGTTAAACAAGCATTGCATGCCAAATGAAGGGCCCCTCCAAGAATCATCTGACTTATAAAAGGAAAAAAATTCCTGAACAATTATCTAATCACATCACCTTGCTCACTTTAACTGCCAGCCCTACTGCCCCATACCTAGTCCTTTCTAGCCTTGTTTACTGTACATCGCTATAAAAAGAAAAGCCTGACCTTTAAGATGGTTGCAAATGTTAGGAATGGGGAGTTCTCCCTATTGTAATAGTACCCTTCATTCTATTGTAATTGTCCCCTTCTCCTTAGTTTAATAATCCCTTTGAATAAAGTCTCTCTTTACATAAATTCAGATTTGTTTTTATTTGAAAAATCTATGGGTCAGTTTGAAAATTAGTATGTTAATGATAGCAAGTTTTTTAGTCCATGAACATGGTATAGCCTTCCACTTATTTAGGTCTTCCTTAATCACTCTCAGTAATATTTTGCATTTTTCAGCACTGAGATTATATATCTCTTTCCTTAGTTGTATTGCTAATTATTAGATGTTTTCTGATGCTATTTTTGGGGTGCAGAAAACAATTCTCCAAAATATGGTGCTTTGGCATGCTGAGCGCTTTTAAAATGAAAGGCCTCAGAAATAAGCTTCAGAACCAAGGTTTCTCTCTGTCCTTTCCTCACTTCCCTGACTCTCTGATCCTCCTTCCCAAAGCACTGAGAGAAACTCTGGAATTTCTTTATCTCACTAAGAAAGCTTATTTTCAAAAGAAATGCATTTGTCTTAAGACCATCTCCCTAGGAATCTCATCAATTAACCAGGAAAGAACAAACAGCAGAGAAGAGACAGAGTCATCATCACATCCAGACAAATTTTTAATTTATTCTGAGAGCAGCTCTAAGAGATTACCTTTGCTCTTGTGCAGTTCTACCCTTTGCCTTCCCCTTAACTTGTCCCACCCAGCTTCCAAAGAGAATCATTTACAAAATAATGTGTGCCTCCCAAATCCATACATCTCTTCCCTATGAAGAGAGTATTTAAGTCTCAATCATCCAGCCCCTCTTCAAGTCTCATAATTTGTGTATGGCCCTCATGTACATAAACATGTTAAAATAAATGTTGAATGCCTTTTCCTCCTATTAATCTGACTTTTGTCAGTTCATTTTCAGTGAATCTTTGGAGGGTAGAGGGTAAGCTTTCCCCTGGCCCCTCCATTATTATAAATGATATTTTAAATTTTCATTTTCTTAATATTTGTAGCTGGAGCATATATTGATTTTTTATTAAAATTACTTACTATAGGAATTTGTCTACAGAGTTTAAAATGTTTTTATCTACACAATCATGCTGTGAATACTGATAAATTTGTTTATTTTTTTGAGTTCTTATGTTTTTTATTTTAATTTATTGCTTTATTGTACTGGCTATGATCAACAGCACAACGTTTAAATGAGATAGGTGGCATCTTTATCTCATTCCCTATCTTAGAGTAAAAGCTTTTAATAGTTCACCATTAAGTATTATGGTTTGCTGTAATTTCTTAGCAATTTTTGTATATGTTTGTGATCAGACTAAGGAAATGCTATTGCAGTTTTTTAATAGTTTTAACAATTAATAGAAAATACTTTTGTGCTCAGAATATATTCATAGAGGTGAAAACTGAAGCACATTATCTTTAAGTTTCCCTTTAAAGATCATGTGGCAAGGAAGTTGCCTCAAAAACTACAACTTCTGACTTCAGTTCCAAGTAAAATACTATAAATATTTCCATCACCACATCTCTGAAGAATATATCCTCTTGTATTTTTTTATAGGTTTGCATGTTTCACCAACTGCAGTATCATAAATAAAAGTTGGGTCCAGGTGCTGTGGCTCACGCCTGTAATCCCAACATTTTGGGAGGCCCAGGCAGGTAGATCACTTGAGGTGAGGAATTCGAGACCAACCTGGGCAACATGATGAAACCCCATCTTTACTAAAAATACAAAAATTAGCTGGGCATGGTGGCAGGTACTTGTAATTCCAACTACTGGGGAGGCTGAGGCAGAAGAATCACTTGAACCCCAGAGGCGGAGAGGTTCCAGTGAGCCGAGATCACGCCAGTGCACTCCAGCCTGGGCAATAGAGTGAGAATCGGTCTCAAAAAAAAAAAAAAAAAAAGTTGGAAAATTATAACATATTCATTGGGGTGAGGAGAAGGGAATATATTACACAATCTATATGGAGGGCAATTTGTGAATATGCATTGAAAGCTTTATCATATGCACATCATTTGACCCTAAGATTTTCTTAAAGTGATATTTTAAAATACCAAACTCAGTAAGTATACAACTATGTATATACAACAAGAATTATTGAAACATTTTTTAATAATACAAAAGGAAACAAAATATCTTGCAATACGTAAATGAATAAATTTATTGTACACCCGTATAATGGGATTTTATATAGCCATGAAAAATTGCATGTAGCTGCACTCATTGTTTTTAAATATGATATCAGGATATAAGATTTTTTAAAAACCAAGCAGCACAGATAGAAAATCATTTTTGTTAAGAAAAAAACTATATGTATATAGTGCAAAAGTACATAGAAAATGTTAATAGTAAACATTTACTTACTTCCCCAAATGTCTATAAAACACATGCTTAGATGTGTATGTTAAAAATAGCACCATAAGGAAGCAATGATGAAAGCAGAAAACAATATTGTCAGTCACATGTCAACAGTCATTTTTCCTATTTTGATTCTGAGATTGTCATTTATTAGCCTAAAACCTACCTTTGATCTTGATTAGAGTATTTGTTAGTGAAAACAGTGACTATGCGTTGGACCTATTAGGAAACTATTAGTGTAAAGTTGTAGGCACTGCTAAAATCTCAAACAACATATATTGGCAATCATTAATACATTCAGGCTGGGCGCGGTGGCTCACACCTGTAATCCCAGCACTTTCTGAGGCTGAGGCAGGTGGATCACCTGAGATCAGGAGTTTGAGACCAGCCTGGCCAACCTTGTCTCTACTAAAAATACAAAAATTAGCCAGGCATGGTAGCCCATGCCTGCAATCCCAGCTACTTGGGAGGCTGAGGCAGGAGAATTGCTTGAACCCAGAAGGCAGAGGTTGCAGTGAGCAATCTCTGCTTCCATCAGAATGCCATCGTTCTATAGAAGGGGAAAACTAAGGCCCAATGGGTAAGATTTATCATTTGTCTATAAGATAAAATTATATTGAAAGCATGTGTAATATGTAGAACAAATAAAATAAAATTAACCTGAGATGCATATGTATAAAGACTCATAACTCTAATTTGTAAAAGAGATTTGTTGTGAGCATTCTTATATTCGTATAGTCCTGCTCTGAAAGCACAAAGAACTTCAAGCATTTGGCATGCATGATTAACTGACATTATAACAGAACAGGTCAAGCTGTTTTCTTAGAAATCTCTCTCCACGCTGACGCACTCGAAGCATTATCAAAACAGCATTCTCTTTAGTTACGATTCAGTTACACAAAGGGTAGACAGACAGTGCCCAACTTATAATGATTCAACTTATGATTTTTTTTTTCACTTTGGGGTGGTGAGAAAGCCACATGCATTCAGTAGAAACAGTACTTTGAATACCCACACAATCACAGTTTTTCACAGTATGTTATTCAATAAATTACATGAGATATTCAACATTTTATTATAAAATAGGCTTTCTGTTAGATCATTCTGCCAAACTGTAGGCTAACATCAGTGCTCTGATCACACTTAAGATATAGATTAGGCTTAACTATTATGTTCAGTAGGTTAACTGTATTAAATCCATCTTGACTTCTTATATTTTCAATATACATTGGATGAAATCCCATGGATTAAGTCCTCATCCTTAATGCTGCCAAGTGATTTAAAAAAATTCATTTTCTCTGTATCTTGTCAAATTGGTCAATGCCGCCCATTAAACAAATATTGGGTATTTTTAAGACTACCCTACCTAACAAGTCTACAGCAACAAAAATTAGATCCCTGGTTTTGTAGGACTGGGAGACTGTTTAGAAAGGAGGGAATGGACTGCAAAAAGACTTAAGGACTCTTTTGGGGGGTGATGAAAATTTTCTGTATCTCAATGGTAATTTCATGTGGGGATATGTTTGTCAAAACTAATAGAATTGTACACTTTAAATAGATGCAGTACATTGTATATAAATTATCCCTTAATATAGCTCATTAAACAAACAAACAAACAGCTCCCGAGATGCACAGGACCCTCAGGAGAACTGTATAATCAAGTAACAACTTGAGTTGCTGTGCCCATGTTTTCCAAGGCTTACATTTGCAATTTCTCTAGCTCAATAAGATAAACCCAAAAGCCACTTTTCAGACCATCAAGGTATTTTCCATTTTAAATATTAATATCTCTACCATTTAGAAAAGATTTACCTTGATCCCAGCACACAAGGCTCACCAGAAAAATTTTTTAAAAATACAAAATTGGGCCAGGCACGGTGGCTCACACCTGTAATCCCAGCACATTGGGTGGCCGAGGTGAGTGGATCACGAGGTCAAGAGATCGAGATCATCCTGGCCAACATGGTAAAACCCCGTCTCTACTAAAAATACAAAAATTAGCTGGGCATGGTGGCGTGTACCTGTAGTCCCAGCTACTCAGGATGCTGAGGCAGAAGAATCGCTGGAACCCAGGAGGCGGAGGTTGCAGTGAGCCGAGATCACGTCACCTCACTCCAGCCTGGGCAACAGAGCAAGACTCTGCTTCAAAAAAATAAATAAAAAATAAAAAATTACCTTAATTTGTTTTTGTTTGTTTTAGAGCTGGCATTCAAATTATCTGTTTGAAGTATGTATTCTTGTTTAGAGAAAAACTAGGGGTCCCTATGTCTTTTAAAAATCCTCATCCCTGACAATTTGTCACTTTGTAATTTTCCAAAACTGAAGGCAGATAAAGAAAAAATGGAGTAGACATTGGAAGAGAAAGAATATTTTTCAGAGATATTTAAACTACAAAAAACAAAATCGCAATTTACCAACAATTTTTCAGCTGTAATTATAAAACATATTGTTAGAGTCTTTTAGAGCCTGCAACAGAGGATTTTAAAAAGCACTCAGACTTCTAAAGTTCTGTGAAGTCAGTCAGAATAATTATTATTTTACATTGAATGATAAACATATGAGCTCTTCACCACCTTCTGAAAGTAAACAAAGCAGCACACACCATTTTCTTTAAAAAAAAATCACAAACACCTAAGATACTGAAACTAGATAGAAATTAGGATTTCAAAAATGGAACAGAGCTTCCTATGGGAGAGAAAGAAATACTTTTTTTGTCTTTTCAACATTTTTAATCTCCTAGCATATCAAAAAATGGCATAAGGTTTTCCTTAGAGATATTCCTAACCTATTTTTTCCCATTCTTCATATCTATAGTACGTTGCTATTTGAACGAAGCCTATAAGCCAATAACTTGAGGCACCTTGCCCTTAGAATTGACTCTGGCATATTAAAATATAAAAACTAGACAGTTTTGTCTGGCTGGGGTTGATAAAATAGGAGAACGCACTACTATTCAGTAGATTCAGTCATGCTCCTAGCAAGTACTGTGGCCATGATCACCACACGCACACAAACACACACACACACAAACACACACACACACACAAAGTATATTAGCTGAGTTCCATACTGCACTACACTAACTTAAAACCAAGAGAAACTTTGAAAATCGCAAGCAACTTTCTGAATGCCATTAATCTGGCATGGAGCAATAATTCTACTTATTCTATACCAGCCAAGTAACTTCTTTCACTTACTCCAAAAATAAAAAAAAAAAGATCCACAGAAAAATAGCCGCATGTATGCTTATTTAGGTAAGAATGTGTCCACCTGAGGTGATCATAAATCTTTACTCCTTAATTTAGGGTACCGTAATTTTGTATTCTTAAAATATAATCACATTTACTTTTGTTATTATTGATTAGGACCATCACAATTATATTAATTGACCTTCATCAGAAGTCAAAATAACAGCATGTCTTTCTAAAAGCCCATGACTTCCAAGTGAATTTATTTGGAGTATATTTCCATTTTTCTTTTATGCACAAGTAGTTACTGACTCCCTATTTTTCAAAAGATAAATTAAAACTGGAAACTCCTTATTGTATTTTATTTTCCACTGAGTAACAATATCTTAGAAAACATTTTCCTAGGTTAATTATTATACTTTGCATAATATTCTTTGCAAGAGGCTAAGTAAAGAATGGGATTGATAAAAATTGGCTCTGAGTGTAGAACAGAGATGAGACTAAGAGGTAAAATATGGTGTAGTTGGTGATTTGGTAAATGTTAAGGTACACGAATATTTTTTTTTTCTAAGTAGAGTGCGCTCACAAAATAAGAGCCAGGCAAATTTGTAAATTTTTTCCACTATTTCATCAATTCATATTTTACTATTTATTTTACTACTTTTTTTCTACATTCAAAAGTAACTGACAGGCATAGTTAACCCTTGAACAAGTACTTATGTATTAGGAAAATTCAAAATTATATGACTAATTAATACTTAGCAATTCATCCTAAATACCATAAATATTCTTGGTTATTTTTACAGTCTCTTTTCTCTATTCACCTATTAAATCAATTCTATGTTACCAATTAAGTTGGTGTTACTGGAATTCAAGAATCTCTCTTCAGTTGACTTTATACTATTGCTTCATGTAATATATCTCCTCATAACTAAATCTTACTCTTTCCCTAGACTCATTTATCTCTCCTAGTAAGTTTACTGTTCTTGCTTACATTTTGATCTTTTTTTTAAAATCCTATTCCCAAACCACTGACAGTGGACATTATCTAAGATTCCATTTTCAGTTATAACTTATCATCTCTGTAAGAATGTATAACTTACGTTCTCTCTCCCTTAGAGCTATTCTGTTCTTATAGCCTCAACCATTATCAATGTTTTTTCTGGAACTTCAGATAAGAAACCATGAAGTCTTATTTGACATCTTTTTCCTATCACTCACATAGACAACTATGAAGTCCCCTTGGTGGGTCCTTCAGAACACTGTGGAGATCTTGCTCCTCCCATTCTCATTGCCCTCACTTTATGTACCATAACCCTATATTGTGGCTGTTGTGAAAGAAAGCATTAATAGAAAATAATTCTTGAACAAACCAGGAGCACCAACTGTCTCATCTCTGTACTTTGCTCTTGGGAACCTGGATGAAATAACTGCAATCCTTAACACAGATCATCACAAAGCTCATCTAGGAATCTGAAACAGCGCAGCACAGGTGGCCCTGCTTGATCTGGCCCCTTCCAATCTCTCTTACTCTCTCTCATGGCCCTGTTCCCCACAGTTCACCATGCTCCAGCCACATGACCTACTGTTTGTTTCTTTTTATACACACTTGGCTGGTTCCTCCACTGGAAAGCCATTTCCTTAGATTCCTTTACCACTGGCTCTTAACAGGCACATTCTCAGGGAGGCTTCCTGCAACCTGTTATCTAAAGTAAGCCTCTCCCCTCTACCGACTTCAATTTATTTTATAGTTCTTATCTTCATCTGCAAGTACCTTATTTTATTTTTCCTTGGTTGTCTTCCATAGTTAGAGTTCCACCCCTCAGATTCATTTTCTGCCTGTTCACTGCTATACCATGAATGCGGCAGCCAGCACATAGTAAACACTTAATAAATAGTAAAAGACTGAACTCCCTAACTGCCCAGAATATAGATCTGTATACTTTACAATGAGTTTTTAAATCTATGAAGCCACTGATGTAAATTCAACAGGAATAATTATGCTCATTGTATGTGTATGAAAACTGGGACTCACACAGGTTTCCTGACTTTATAAGTCACATAATTAGTAATTGCAGGTGCAATATAAAAAACTTAATTTTCCATATGATTGGACCATCATCAAAAAAACTATAGATACAGTGTTTTTTTTTTAATTTACTATCAAAAGGATAAGCATGAAAGGTCAAGGTAAGTATAACAAGAAGTTATTACTTCATTATTCTAAAGAAAAGAAAACATATTTAGATATTTAACATTGTTTGGGGAATTTTAAGATCTCCCTAAGGTTTTTCTGCATCAAAATTATTTAAAAGGGCACTGGAATGGGGGAAATAAAAAATGTCTCTATAAATAAAAATAGTGATGTAAAAATGATAACTTATGTATTGAAACAAATGCAAATGCTATGTACTTAACTGTGTTTATTCTCTCTTTTTTTCCCCTGGATGTAACAGCATTTAGAAAAATGATCATTATTTTCCTTTTCAATTTTATTCCTTTCAGTTGAATAGCTGTTTATTTACTTCTTTCATGTATTTTTGTTAAGAACAAAAAGACATTAATTTGTGGGTTTGTATATTTGTGTGTGCATTAATGCATTGAAGCACTGTTGCTATCATCAAAATCCTGCAAAGGAGGTTAGTAAAAACCATTTAAAAATAATTTTACACTGCATACCAGGAAATGATCTTTTTGGCAAGTCCACATGTGGTATTTTTTGTCCATTTATTTTTATTTCATATCATAAAGTAGGTCATAATCAAGCAATATTTACATTTAAAAAAATCTATTCACATTAGCTAAATTTCTTCCAAGATTCAGAAATCTCTACCTTTATTATTATTTTATTTTACTTAATATTGACTTGCCTATGTCAGAGATTTTTTAAAATAGTTAATGGGCTACTAAAATAATATTACAACTCAAGTAAACAGGACAAAAATTTATGTTAATCCATGATTAGAATATATTTTTCTGATTAATGTATATAAAATTTGGCAAGATCATAGTGATTTTACTCTTACAAACCAAACTCTGATGTGTAAATACTTTCAGGATAGCTTATTACTGTCATGTCTCCTTATTCCTGTGCTGCCAATAATATGTATCAAGTTAAAAAAAAAACAAATTACACGAATACATGCTAAAGATTCCCATTTAAAATTTATAATAAATTATTATGATAAAATTCTCTTACAAGTGCTTACACCTCCCAGGGATCACTAAATGTTTAGCCAGAAATCAGGAGCTGGCAGGATTATTCACAGAAAAAAAGAAATGTGGATGAGGACTCCAATGTCACATAAGCTCCCTTCACATCCAAAGGTTATTTCCCATTAAGTCTTAAAAGGATTTCACTTGATAGAAAGTTTAATGGTAACATTTCAATTAAGAGATATTTTATATGTAGGTCATCAGATCACAAGAATTCAGAGCTGAAAGAAGTCTTAAGAGTCATCAAACTCAATCTCCTAATTTTATAAATGAGGAAATGAAAAACCAGAGAAGTTTAGAAATTTGCCAAGATCACAGTTAAGAAATGGCATGGTCATGATGAACACAAATGCTTCCCGACTTCCTCGTTGAGAGCAGGTGCTGTAACATGAAGGAGCAGAGGCTAAAATTCTGACTTCATCATCACCAGCTACTGATTTTTTGGGTTTTTTGTTTGTTTGTTTTTGTTTTTGTTTTTGAGATGGAGTTTTGCTCTTTTCGACTAGGCTGGAGTGCAATGGCTCAATCTCAGCTCACTGCAACCTCTGCCTCCGGGTTCAAGCGATTCTCCTGCCTCAGCCTCCGGAGTAGCTTGGATTACAGGCATCTGCCACCATGCCCAGCTAGTTTTTTGTATTTTTAGTAGAGACAGGATTTCACCACGTTGGCCAGGTTGGTCTCAAACTCCTGACCTCAGGTGATCCACCTGCCTTGGCCTCCCAAAGTGCTGGGATTACAGGTGTGAGCCACCACGACCGGCCTGCTGATCTTGAATGAGTTATTTCCCTCCTCTAACCTTAGTTTCCTCACCAGTACAGTACAGATCAAATTGCACCTACTCCCTAGGGTTACTGACTGCTAATGGCCGGGGTTTCATAACTTCTAGAAATTCCCATTGTCATTATTCTCCCACAGTTGCTTCTCATTGAACTGTATGTGCCCTGGGACATTGCCACTAGAGTTGGATTTGAAAGGCACAAGAAGATCCCAAACCATTCCCCTCAGTATCATCCCCATTTTTAAACTCTTTATTTTGATTTTAAAATAATTTAAAATTTACAGAAGAATTTTAAAAGTAATACAGTGTGCTACTGTATGCCTATTACACACTTTCTTCTAATGCTAACATCTTACATAAGCATGTTACATTTAAGGAAACAGAAATTAACATTTGCACAATACCTTTTAACTAAAATGTTACCGTAACAATGTGATTTATTTGGATTTTCCCAATATGTCTAACTAATGTCCTTGTGTTCCAAGATTCAATCCAAGATAACACATTATATTTAGTATAACCCAGGTCTTAAATTACCCCTGATCTTAATCTAATTAAAAAATGTAGCTGTTTAGATCTATTGATGAAAATCAAGGGGCTCATAGGTAAGCAGAAGACATTTTGGAAAAAGAAATTTATATCCAAGTAGGACTAATGTAGATGGATCCACTTTATCCCTTAGTGAGTGTCATAAGCTTGCGTTAACCAAGTCCTCAGTGATTGAAATTAAAATGCTATTAGTTCTTCTAGGACCCACTTAGCATGGCGCCAACGCAATGCTCTGAGATTTGTTCTTAAGTATCAAGTTTAAAAATGTAGATATGAGCACCTTAAATTAGTTAATATGTTTTGGTACCTCCTTGGAAAATTACAGATGTATATTTCCAATGTCCAAACCGCAAAGACACAACTTTTAATGTGAGAAAAAAAAATCATGTCGACAGAAATCAGATCCTAAGTCAGGCTACTCATTTACACAGAAAGAAGAAGGTTATTCCCTGGCTTGGAGATGACCTAAAAATGTACGTAGTGAATGGTGTCTGGCAACATTTTATAAATGCCCACCTTCTTTCAAGTACTAATTCCAAGGACAGCAAAGAAGTCATGTGCGGAGAACTAGAGAAAAGCAGCAATTTCTTCTCTTGCAAAAGCTGCATGGGGATTTATGGGGAGACGGCATGTGATTACAGCCTGGAACTTAGCCAGGGCAAGAGGATAGTGGGGTGATGGTCTCTGTCCATGGTAACAAATGACTTTCCTAATATGATAGATGTTTCCTGACCTGTCCTACTAATTTGTTTTACCTGGCACTGCATTGCTGCTACAGAGAAGCAAGGACTTCAGATAGGCTTCCCGGCACCCTTTGATTGTGAGTTAGAAGAACAGGACACTGATGAGACCTAATTCTGGAAGTTATGACTATCACAAAAGCACTTGCTCCCTGGACAAGTGGTGACAAGTGGTGTCATCTTTTTGTCATCCCATTCTTTCACCCCTGGTATAGGAACTAAAGTGGTAACATTCATGTTAAGGTAACTTTCTATGCCTAGACACACTGCCAAAGGCTTTATGATTTTTCTCAGGGTCAAAATTTACCCATTACAACTCAGGTGGACAATTACTACTAATAATAATTCTACTCCTTATTTTCCATAATTAATATCATTCCTTTTCTGGCTCCCAACACTAAAAATGGTAAAAATTCTTGGTTACAAGAGAGGAATTCATCTTACTTTTGATCTGCAACTTAGTTTTCCTTCAGCAATTTCACAATATTTCAGGGATTTTCTTTTCTTGTAGATTACCTCTCAGGGTCTTATTAATGGTGTCTTGCAGGAACAGTTCATTTTAAAGGGTCAAAGCCTGGGCCTCCCTTCAGCGCTTGCTGGTGTTACTGCTTCTTCAGGGCCTGGCCGCAAAGCCCCTTGCAATCCAACCCTCAGGAGTTTACTAGCCAATATTTTTATCCATCTTTAGCTGAGATCCTTGGAGTCAATCAGATCACGTCACACCACGGGCACACCCAGAGACTTCCATGGCTCTCCACTGAGCTTAGAATAAAATCTATAATTCTTGCCAAAGCCTATAAGGCTCTCTATGGTGTGAATGCCACCCCCCATGACTAACCCACCAACTCCCCCTTACTCATTGAGTTCCAACCACACTAGCCTCCTTCTTGTCCTTCCAACAAGCCAATCCCACTCGGAACCTCAGAGCCTTTGCACACACCATTATGCTATTTAGTCCATCTCAAGCATTTTCTTCCAGAACTCACTTGCTGATGTCACTGTCCTGTGGTGACCTTCTGTTTACTTGATCTGAAATAGCACCCCACCTCATTCTCTCCAGCATCTGCTCTATTTTTCTCCATAGCACTTCTCATCACCTGGCATCTTATATAGTCATTTCCTTATTTATAGTTTGTCCCCTTCCAACCAGAATATCAATACCATTAAAGGAGATACTCAATTTTTGATTCATTGTCAAAAACCCTTTGAGATAGGCATTAATATTGTTGATTTTTAGTAAACAATTGAGGAAATTAAGTTCAGCAAGTTTCAGTGATCTGCAGAAGGTCAAACAATAAAAAATGTTGTCTTTCTATCCCAAGGGAGAAAAAATGTTTACAAAATGTGTGGTTATATAAGTGAGGAAATGCGACAAGACCGCTGCTTAGCCACTAACCTGGGATCAGAGAGCATCGGGGCCCAAGAGGAGGCCTGAGTACTGTAAATAGGCCAGCAACTACTCAGCAATAATTCCTTCGTTTCCTATAAACAAACCTCCTTGGAGGAGCCTGTTCATTTTTCAAGTGGTCAAAGAAGCAGTTGGGTTGCAGATAATCAAGGAGCCTGGGGGCAATTAGTTTTAATGTTTTGACAGTGAGAAAGTGGGAGAGCCTTAGCATTTTATACATTGTTGTTATGCTTGGGAGGTTCTTTAGGCCTTGAGATCAGATGTTTCTCCTGTCAGCCTTTTGATTCGTAGTTACAGGGGCTGAAGCCCTCAGCCTCACTCCCTCCATAAGCACACTCATCATCCCATCACATGCAGAGAGTGCCTGGGAAGGGCTCCTTGTCAGCAGCTGAGTGACTGCTCATGGCGCATGTGTGTTTATTCTTGCTGATTCCAACTTCTTGAGAGTTCAGCCTGAGCCTTACTCTTCTATCTCTCAGAGCACCTGGCATAGAACAGGTGTTCAATAAATCTCTGTTAAATTGAATTGGCAGTTCACTTAATCAGTCCAGGACTGGTTTTCTTATCTGTTGAATGGGGAGAGTGAAGCTCTCTACGAGGATTATTAGGATGAACAAATACAATTGAATACGTTTTTGTTTCTTGGTAGCACACACAAGGTGTATTTATTGGCCTTATTTAATATTAAAACATAAAACAATTGTGTTGTGAGCCTTTTCTGGGACATGGCATTACTTCGGCTGGAGTGCACTGGCATGATCATAGCTCACTGTAACCTTGACCTGCTGGGCTCAAGCAGTCCTCCTGCCTCAGCCTCCTGAGTAGCTGGGACTACAGGTGAGCACCACTACACCCAAGTAACTTATGTTATGCAGAAACTGGGTCTCTCTATGTTGCCCATTTTTTTTTTTTTTTGTAGAGATAGGAGTCTCACTATGTTGGTAAAATAGTGGTGACACAATGTAACACAGGAAGGAAATCAAATTCTACAAGCACTTAGTGAGTTAACGAACATTCTAGTTTGCACAATATGATCACAAATAAACCATATTGTGAATTGAATAATATTGCACTATAGTAGTATAATACCTAGAGTATCCATTTATTCTAACTAAATAGGAAAAAAATGATGATTTTATCTAAGTGATCATTTGATATTTTACTATGTGCTAGGCACTCTGTTAAATGGTTGAAGTGAGTTATCCCATTTATTCCACAAAGTCTTCCTGTCATGTATGTTTTTCCATTTCTCTGAGGCACAGAAAGTTTAAGCCACTTGCTCAAGGCCACAAAACTAAGACATGGTGCTGATAAGCAAGTCACGCACTAATGAATGCTCCACCTTATTGCCTCCCTGAAATCAACCAAGGTGAACTATCTATGCTTCTGTGTTAGTCCTTTTTGCATTACTATAAAGGAATATCTGAGACTGGGTGATTTATAAAGAAAAGAGGTTTACTTGGCTCATGATTCTACAGGCTGTACAAGCATGGCACCAGCATCTGCTTGGTTTTATATGGCTTTATTTCTAAAGCATTTATTTCCTCGGCTTATGGTGAGGCTTCAGGTAACTTTTAGCCATGGCAGAAGGCAAAGAGGGAGCAGGCGTATCACACGACAAGAGAGGGAGCAACAGAGAGACAGAAAAAAATCCCAGACTTTTTTAACAACCAGATATCATGTGAACTCATTGCCAGGGAGGTGGCACCAAGGCATTCATGAGGGATTCACCCTTATGATCCAGACGCCTCCTAGGCCCCACTTCCCACATCGGAGATCACATTTCAACATGAGATTTGGAGGGGACACACATCCAAACTATATTACCATACTTGCAACAAAGCAACAAGCATCTACCATGTGTTATACAAGGCCATGTTGGAGGTACTAGGAGATACACTGGGGAGAAGACAAACACAGTTATGCCCTCATGGAGCTTGACATATAATGTAGGATAATAACATTAAGCAAGTAATCACACAAATAAACACATAATTAGAAACTGCAATATGTGCTGAGAAGAAAATTCCAGGGCACTATGAGAATAGTGGGTACTGAAGGAAGAATGACAGGGGAACATATGCGGATTGTCAGTCGGGGAAGAGAAGTCAGAGAGGGCACCTCTGAAATGAAACTGACAGGCAAGCTGAGAGAGAACTGGGAAGCAAAGGTGATTGGGGTGTTGAGGCCAGAAGTGTGTTCCAGTAGAGCCAAGTGTCTGTGGAGATGCTAAATTGGAGAATGGGTCAGGCCTCAGAATTAGGGAAGGAGAAATCAGAAGGAAGTAGGAAGAAAGTGAAAAAAGGTCAGAATGGAGAATCAAGGAGAGCAAGCCTATTAGAGAAAAGCTTTAAAATTGCCAGATCCCTGTGGGGTGTGGCTGTCTTCGCCCCGCAGGTTTGAGAACTGTTAATAAGTTAGCTACATGGACACATGGCAAGGAAGCACTGCTATTTCTAGATGTGACTGAGTTGCTTTTTCAGTGGAAAGTGTTTGAGTAATGTGTGGGTATCTGTAAGTGCAAAGAAAGTCCAAAGTTGTCTAAAACTTCTTCCCTAAAACTTTATGTAGGTTTTGTTTCCTAAATTGGCAGACATATTAGATGCAGGTCTCTGTTCAGTCAGAACGACTAATATGACAAAGCTCTGCTCAAAAATGGTTATGGAGGGCTGGGCACGGTGGCTCACGCCTGCAATCCCAGCACTGTGGGAGGCCGAGGCGGGCGGATCACGAGGTCAGGAGATCAAGACCACCCTGGCTAACACGGTGAAACCCTGTCTCTACCAAAAATACAAAAACAAAATTAGCCAGGCGTGGTGTCTGGCATCTGTAGTCCCAGCTACTCGGGAGGCTGAGGTGGGAGAATGACGTGAACCCAGGAGGCAGAGCTTGCAGTAAGCCAAGATTGTGCTACTGCGCTCCAGCCTGGGTGACAGAGCGAGACTCCATCTCAATAAAAAAAAAAGTTATGGAGTAACTCAGCTTCGTCAATACGTCTTGGAAGTTGTAGGCACTACAGTACCTTTTAAGTGGTTTATTTTATGTCCCTACAAAGCAACAATTAGTAATTTTAAAAAAAGATATATCAAAGTGATGTACTTCACCAATATATTGGAAAAGAGATACATTTACTAAAAAGAAAACTCCAATTAAATTCTAGAGCCCTCTGATAATCCCAAAAAGCCACTACAAATAATACAGACACCGGAAGAGAAAAATAAATTAGAATCTAAGAGATTAGGGAAGTGCCAAGTGCAGATACTAGAGGAACAGTTTTCATACAAAGTTAAGTCAAAGAAGAACAAAAATGCTGTGTTGTCATACTTAAGCATCTCCGTCAAAAAACTTTTTGCTATTTCCTAAAAACTTCAAACAAAATTTGCAAGACACACTAGTCTACAATTCTTCAGATATAATTAAGATGTTTCCTTTTTCTGAAGAATATATATCACTAAATTTTCATACTTAACATATACTTAAGACCAAAAGCAATAAGTAAGCCAGAGAAAGTAATGACATTTCTTCCTAAAATAGTGTATCTGTAACTTTCAAACAGTTTGATGTGTTTAGTCTTAGAGACCAATATTTGCAAGATTTCTAAACCTTGTATGCAAAAGCCCGAGGCAACTGTCAATATCACCCAGGTCTGAAGCACTCTTTCAAGTTCATCCATCTGCAGGTTCAAGGATTCAACTAGAAAAATCAACAGATTTCTAAGCAGTATATAGTACAAATTGAAACATCTGGGATCCATCATCTTGCATTTTTGACAACAAAATTGGCACAACTCTGGAAAGTCCTAAAATCAGGTAAAAAAGTATTAAAATGGAATTCAGCTACCTTTCATAGGGAATATAGGCTGAACAGTTTCCTTACTAAGCTGAATAGCTCTGAAAAAGATTCCATCTCTTAGACCTTTTTACTTTTTTTTCATTTTTTAAAAGTTTTGATTTCACACAACATTGAGTAGCAAGATTAAAGAGCAGATGGAACATAAAGGGGTGTTGTTCTACCACTGAGAATGCCCATTGGCAAGTTTCCCCTCCCTTTTTTTGCAAACCATTCTTAATGGCCCAACTAAATTTCTACTCCCTCCATGCAACTTGCAGAAGTATGGCTTCACAGAGCCCTTCCCTCCGGAACTCCTGCAGCCCTCGCTATCATTACAATTGGACCCTTAAGCAGATATTCCCTGGTGAGGTCTCTTGAATTAAACAAAATACACATTTAATATATTGAGCACCTACTATATTTTAGCCTCTGATCAAATGTTCTCACATCTTTAATTCATTTCATTGGCACAACTCTAAGAAATAGAAAACATTTTCATGTCAATTTTCCAGAGGAGAAAACTGAGGGCCGAAATTTCTTCAGTCACTGCAATCTTTCCCAATTATTTATAAATTTATGAAGACAGTTCCTCATGTTTTGTCCCTTCAAATAGTTAACAAGGTCTTAGAGAGCTGAGACCCATATTGTCCAGCTTTGTCCCTCTGAAAGCCAAGCACAGTGTTTTGTACACTTCATGTACTCATATATGCCAGTGTTTTGATTTGATATTGAAAGGAACAGAAAGGCAATGCTTAGTTAAAATAAGCCCTCTACAAATCACTGACATTTGGGTTCGATACTCACTTCGAAATAAAATCCAAGATCCATTCACATTCAATACTAGAACCAAATATCAAATGAATATAAATGGGAGGCATTTCCATGTCTGTCATTCTTTTGGTATTTCCAGCATGGGCAGGAGCAGACTGGAAATAGACAGGAATGCAAGCCCCCTCATTGGAAAGCAATGATGCTGACACCAAGGTTCACTGCCATTTCATGAAAGGAGCTGCAAGGGTGGGAGTGGGGAACAAGGCTGAAAAGGCAGAGAGAAAAGAAAGGGGAAAAAAAAGGCATTCACATTCTGTGGATTAAAAATCCAATGAAAGGAGAATAAGAAACTAGTCCATCAATTGATAGAATTTTCAATGCAATCAACCTAAGCTTCTATATTTATTCCAAGGGGAAAATTGAACCTCAAGTCCAAAAATGACTCTCAGGTCCCATTCTCTGCTCAAATACACACACATTTACATTTATGGGTGACTATGTGGCTATATTTAAATTCTCAGCTCTAAAAGCTGCAAGACTGTAAATAGACTCATTTTAGAGTCATTTTATAAAATGGTATTAGCTTTCCTGCCATTCTCCAAGGCAGGCAAAGTTCAGACGTGCAGAAAATGAAAATGATTTCTTTTTTTTTTTTTTTTTTTGAGACAGAGTCTCGCTCTGTCGCCCAGGCTGGAGTGCAGTGGCATGATCTCGGCTCACTGCAAGCTCCACCTCCTGGGTTCACACCATTCTCCTGCCTCAGCCTCCCGAGTAGCTGGGACTACAGGCGCGTGCCACCACGCCTGGCTAATTTTTTGTATTTTTTTTAGTAGAGACGGGGTTTCATCATGTTAGCCAGGATGGTCTCGATCTCCTGACCTTGTGATCCACCCGCCTCGGCCTCCCAAAGTGCTGGGATTACAGGCGTGAGCCACCGCGCCCGGCCGAAAATGATTTCTTTTGATAATAATATTGGTAGATTCCAAAACCAGAAATCAGTTCGTGTCATTTCTGAGTGCCTGTTGAGTGATGCCTGGTCATAGCTTTGAGGTAATGGAGTAAATTTCAGCATAAGGAGTCAGTGGAATGTACTACCTCAGGACAGAAAAGAAATAAAAGAAGCCATTATCTAGCACCATGTAAAGTTTCAGGTCAAACAGGTCTGGTTTACTAGGTGGAGAAAGCACAGTAAGCACAGCTGAGGACTGACTATGCCTCCCTCTATGAGGAAATTATGTGTGGTTAATGGTGGTGTCTGTTAACGGACTTTGAGACAAAGTACATCAGAGTCATGCCAAGCTAGTAGATTCCTCCATGGCTCTGATGGGCTCCTACGGAAACATGGACTCTGACAGGGTTCCTCAAAACTTGACTCTCACTCCTACATGTCTCACTCCTCCATTTGCATACACAAGTGGTGAGTTGATATGAATATCTTAACTATTTAGTATCTTCCTCAATCCTTAGTACTTTAGTATTTTCTTATAATCCCTCATTTGGGAAAGTGGAATCCAGCATTTTCCAAATGGAAGAAAGTTTATCATGGATCAATGAGAGAAAGGAGAAAAAACAATAGTGAAATGTTTGGCTATTGAATTTAAAAGTCTCTGCAATGCACCTTAAGAAAGAAAAGATGTAGAGAGAAGCTGGGCTACATTGCCATCCCAATACCCACCAGGCAAGCAGAGAAAAGCAAGCCTGTTAGCTGGAGGAGAAGGAGGGAAGTTAGATAAACACCAAGATGATTAGATGACATGAAGATAAATGGCTGCCTTGCCTCATCCCCCAGGGTTAGTGTGTGGGCTATTATAGAACCCATTCAAGTTAAGGATTTTAGAGTCAAGGGGAATTATGGTTCATACCCTACATGTAATTCAGGAGGCAGAATGTTTTAGCTGTGCCCTAAGCCAGTGTTTTGATGTGCATGTGAATTGCTTTCTGCAGATCTAGAGGAACATGAGGGAACAGTAAACAGCTTCCCATCTTCTGAGCAGGGAGAAGGCATCAGTTGAGAGAACAGGAGGTTCAAATAGTCCTCAAGGACAAAACGATGGGGGAATGGTGATGAGTACAATGCACCATCTCTTCAGAAACCATAGTAGGACATGAGAGGATGATTGCACATCTCAGCTGAGACCAAAGAAAAAAGGGAGTCAAATCCAAGACTGACTGATTTATTCAGCCCTACCTGGTTCCCTGGTCCTTGACCACTTGCTCAATGGAGAGCTGCACACACTATTAAGACCTCACGCCACACTGCAGAACAACCTCCATCACACACACCTCAAAAGGGGTCTCTGGCTACCAAGTTTAACACCCTCATAACACAGAGTCTCTGACTCCTCCCTTCTAGACTCAGGTGCAACACTGCTTATTGAACATGGGAGGTAGCTTCCCCAACAGTAGCCTGGAGAGGTTGTTTGAAAATCTCAGAAGTGTAGACAAAATATTGACCAATGGAAGGAAGGAATCTGTGTTTATTTGCAAAACTGCAGCCAGTTTTGTAATTTAACTTTTTGTGCTTCCTTCCTTCCTTGGCTTACCTCTCTTTATCCACTCCACCCCCACCCCCACCACCCTGGGACTACAAACTCATTAGCAGGTAAATTCTGTCACACATTCTGTTTCCTAGAGAATCTAGGGTAAGGAACCCTGGCACTTGAAATTTACTCCAGAAAGGAATATGAGTGGGGGGAAATCAAAAGTTTGACCTGAAATTAACAATAAATGACTGCATGTGACTGAATTTAACAGTCAAAACTAGACTGGGAGGCTGATGGAACTGAGGCTGTAGAAAAAGAGAGTTACATTTTCATACATCTGACTTTGTGACTTTGGAATAAAACAGTTGCTATATTCAGAAACATTAAGAAGTTCACGCTTCTTAATTTAAACATATAATTATGATTCAAAATTAAGGAAGATCCAGGAAGTAGGAAGGAAAGATGAGGAAAATGTTCATGTCTACACTGCAAACATATAATAGTTCTCCCATCTCTTCTGTATCACTCATTTCTTGTTTTACAGTAGAATTAGAAAGTATAAGCAGTGACTAAGAAGTTAACATAGAAGAGCATGGGTTTAGGTGTCCAACATATATAGCCTTGGTTTTATTTCTGCAATTCACCAGCTTTGTGCCCTTGGGCAAGTTACTGAAGCTCTCAGTCTCTTCATCCATAAAACAGACAACAGACGATGCCCTTGGGATTTGCTCTAAGGGCAAACATATAGTTCTTAGTCCTGTGACTGGAAAGCGGTAAGCACTTAATTACTGTGAGCTATGATTACTATTATCAAGGTGTTTGGTTGAATGAAATTTGAGGAACTAACCTGTCAATGAGAATTTTCTCTGTGATATAAAAGTGAATGTTTACTACAGAGTTTGAAGCAAAAATAAAGCTTTTCTTGTTCTCCATCCTACATAAAAACTTTTCCATTCTCCCAAAAGTAAAATAGACGACAGGGTATCTTCAGGATAAAACAAAAATTCCCGATCTTTGATATGTTCGTGCATTGATTCCCTTAGTTTCAAAAATATTTATGATAGATATCTGGAAACAAAGCCATAGACACTTGTAAGTAAAAAGACACATGGTAAAGAAATGTATTATGCCAATATCTAAGCAGGCTATAAGGGTAATCCAGTCTGCTGTCTATTTTTGCAAATCAAGTTTTATTGGAACTCAACCACAGCCATTCATTTACGTATAGTCTATGGCTGCTCTTGCATATAAGGAGAAAGTTTTGTCCTGACAGAGGCCTTGTGCTACACAAAGGCTAAAATATTTACTATCTAGCTCTTTAGAGGAAAAATTTGCTGGCCTCTAATCTAAGAGAAGAAATTAAGGGAAGAGGCAAGAATAGGACAAACAAGTTGGAAGAAAAGACAGAAAATATCAAGTGAAGTAGCTTCAAACAATAAGCTACTATTACGTGATGATGGGCACACATGAAGAAGAGGCAAAAAAAAATCAGAAACTTAAATCAAGCACAATGTTAGCAAAGGCTAAAGGCGTAAATGCTATAGAGGGCTAAATATTGAAATCAAGAATATATGTGCAATTTCTTCCTCAAAATCTTAAAATAAAAATGCTTCCTCTTAGGAAATATAACTCAACAAAGCACTTATAATAAGAGATACCCTCTTATATGAACTGAATCCAGCAATAATTAGATTTAATTTGTTACAGTTGTTGATTTATATGATTCTGGACGCATCTTGAGACTATAAAGAATATTTTTAAATAAATGTGATTTTGTGGCATTTTCACATTATTACTTTTAATAAATGAATTGCAGGAATAAAATATAGAAAGTGAAGCTTTTTTAATAGAAAAACTCGGAAGACCAATTATTTAAGAATTTCAAATTAGTATATATAAGACTGATGCTGGAAGAGATCTTTGTGCTGATATATCTTAGTTAAAAATAAATTTCATTGCCTTCTAGTTTCATATTATAATCTCTTAATAATGTAGCTTAAGATGATGACATATTTCCTTTTCTGAGATAGTGTTATTTATTATGTAATTATTACAACTCATGGCAAAGCACTTGTGAAAAATATGTCTTAAAGATTTGAAAATATGTGTAAACTGTTTCAGACAGATTTCAGTTCGTGAATTATACTGACTGAAATATTAACTGAAAGCTAATTTACTAAAGAACACATTTCTTTGTTTAAGAACCCACAATTTGCTATTTTCTTTCAAACTCAAGTCTTCCATGGGACTTAAGAAAAATATGTCAGCTTTTCTTGATAATCAAAAACACTTTCCAAAAATCTACATATTTAACAATACAAGATTTGTTAAAGAAGGTATTCTCATGTAGCCATTAAAATTACGTTGGAATAATTCATGACAAGAAAAATGCTTACAATATATTAAATAAAAACTTTACAATGGATTTCAATTATGTAAGAAAAATATCTGTGTAAATATTTATAAAAATGCACAGTGATCACCTCTGAAATTGGGAAATTAATGATTCATTTTCCTGTAGATACTTTTCTATATTTCATGAATTTTATTTATCCAATGTTTATTCTAGCTGTAGTTAACAGAAGTAATAAATTCTACTAAATGTTTCATAAACAGTATTTAAATATCCAAAATTGGTTATTACAATCTGAAAAAAATACAGCCTCTTCTGAAGCCAAAGGTATGATAGGGTTTTTGTTTGTTTATTTGTTTTGTTTTGTTTTTTTTATGAGTGGTTCAGAGAAAGATAATATGTATCCTGGCTGAGACTCAAATTTCCAGATGCTAGATTTTTTTCATTTGCTTAACTCTAATTTCAAAGAATAGATAATTTAAAATTAATAATCATGTCTTTAAAGTTTAAATTATTCCAATTACTCAGTAAATATTCAGAACATAAAGTAAAATCTACGTAATTTTGTTCTTTAAGGAAGTTTATAGCTTTTACTTATGACTATATTCTGATGAATTACAACCACATATTTTTGCACACATAGCACTAGACATTTTTTAAGGCTCTTTGGTTATTTCATTTGACCTTCCAAATAATCTTGCAAAATAGCCAAGACAGATATTACCATTCCTATAATGGTGGAAATGAGGCTCAGAGTGCTGGTCACATACGCTAATAAAAGTTGAGGAATGAGATGGGAATTGCAAATCCCATTATTTTTCAAAGATAGCATGCTGCTTCTCAAAACAATGATGATAAGTCTTCTGCCTTCAAAGATGGTTAAAGAGAAAAAGTGTATCACTCATATCTAAGTATTTTTTTTTTAATGATGAGAAGTTAAATGACAGCTTTTATAGTACAGACTGAGATTTGCAGTCAAAGCTAGGAGGTCTCAATTCTAGTCCTTTCTATCATGCTAGTATGCTGTGTGATTTTTTTGAATGCTCCAGCTGTAGGTATATAAAATCTTTTCCTGCTACCTAATTCTAAGTGCCTGCTAAATAAATTCAAAAACAATTGAGCAAATAGATAGTAATGACTATCTTCCATTTGCTCCTCCACATTGACTCTTGCCTTCTCTATCATGCTGAGTACCCCGGAAGGCTTGTCCGTAAAGACTGCATTAATGGGCTCTCTGGTCCTCAACATCCCTGGTTGGGTGTGGCCAATGTGGAACATGAACAGACTGGAGAGAAGGCCGTGAGTGGGGTCAGGTCACTTACTCTTTTTGTTCCCTCCCCTCTCCCCTTTAGGACTAGAAGTGGCTGTCACTCCCTCAGCTGTTTCAAGGCCCAGAGCACAGCACTCTCCAAGATTGCTTTAAACTCTTCCCACATTCTCAGCTTGAGTAGGCCCTCAGTTTCTTAACCGGTAAAATGGAAAAATAAGAGAAACTTTTTTCTCTGGCTGATTTGACTTCACAGAAAAAAGTTATTCTCTCCCAAAGTGGGCAAGGCTAAGGAGTGTCTAGGATTGGTGGGAACTCACAGAAGTTTAGAGAAAAGAGGATTCTCAGACAGCATCCAGTAAAATTCGAAACCCTTATCCTATAGATGTGGAAATGGTGGACCACAGTGTTATTCAGTCATGATCAGTAGCTTTAGTTTCTAAACCTCCAGCACTCAATGCATAGTCCTTTCCACCAGTGGGAACCTAAGGGCTAAACCTTATCATGGTGCAAAAAAAAAAAGCAAAAAACCAATTACACAGTTTCCTGTTCATTTGAATCACCAACTTTGATATTACATACTTCTTGAAGAATATTAGTTTGAGCGACTCACATAATTTTAACATTTGAACATACATTAAGAAGCTAATATTTTAACTTATCATTTCAAAATGTGGATATAAATTAAGAAACTAATATTTTGTGTCACATTATTTTAAAAATCACAAAACTGAAATACTCAAAAACTGTGATTATACTGTATTTCCTAACAATGATAAGTTAAACAAAGAACCCTATTCAAACCACTTTACTACTGTACCAATTACAGTTACTTTTAATATATCCTTAAATTATCAAAGTTATGTGTGTGTTCATGAACAGAGCTACACGATAATTCTTTTCCCCAACAATGAGAGAAGACAACCAGAATGGAGAAAACCTCTTGTTTATATACTATAGCAAATAGTTTATATCGCTGATTGTATACTTAGCAGAAAAATATTTTCCCCCCTTGATTCAACACTACATTTCTAGTCCTTTGTAGAGTTTATGGCAAAGTGGAAATAAGGGAATAGTGAGAGATGGAGGTTTTGAGTAGGTGGGATTAATGGTCTTTCTAAAGAATGTTGGTGGACAGTCACCCATTAGACCTAAGCAACAGGCTGGGGACCAGCTTTGGAGTCCAATACCTGGCTCTGTTTATTCCTAACTACACTTTCTACGGTGCATTTTATAATTTGAGAGTTAGTTTTCTCATCTGAAAAACAGTGAAAGTAATACTCATGCCCATAGTGCACGTGAAGACTAAATGAGATAATATATAAGAAAGCACTGAGTCCAGTTCTGTCATAGAGTCAGGACTTAGTAAATTGTATTTGCTGTTTTAGTTACTTTTACTATGGTGACCACAGCTATTTGTTCATGGCCAGAGAAGATATTAAAGATCTCAGTGACTAAAGTTAAGCACATCATCAGAATCCTGTCTTTAACAAGTGTGACATATCTCATTCTTCTTGCTTTACAGAGAAATCCTGATAATTTTGCTCACATAAGCATTAAGAACCTCAAATGCAATAAATCTTTGAGCCTGCTTTAACTAAAATTTGTCAAGGATCAGGGATGCATGAAAATAAGCCATTTCTATGCAATGTATTGACAGTTTCTACTTTCTTGGATTTGTCTCAGAAGGCAACAGTAAACCACTCTGCCTTAAACCAGATGTGAAAATCAAGAGTTCTTACTAAGAATGCCTACACTAGAATTTAATTGTGACACATTTGAGGGCGGAATCCCAAGTAGAAGTCGGTGATTTCCAACAATCAGCCCATCAGAAGACCTTAAAATGACCCAGGGACCTGAAAAAATATACATTCCTAGTCTCCACCCCTGGAATCTCTAATTCGATAGGTTTGGGGTGTTCTGTACAGCTGCGTATGTGCATTTTTGGTATTTTTCTTGAGGCAGAGTCTGACTCTGTCACCCAGTCTGGAGTGCAGTGGCGCGATCTTGGCTCACTACAACCTCCGTCTCCCTAGCTCAAGCGATTCTCCTGCCTCAGTCTCCTAAGTAGTTGGGACTACTGGCGCATGCCACCACGCTAATTTTTATATTTTTAATAGAAACAGGGTTTTGCCATGTTGGTCAGGCTGATCTCGAATTCCTGACCTCAAGCGATCTGCCCACCTCAGCTTCCCAAAATGCTGGGATTACAGGTGTGAGCCACCGTGCCCAGCCACAGCTGTTTTAATATTCATGGGATTCTGCTCAACAGCAAGATTTGGGAATATGAGAAATGAACAACGACTAAGGAAGCCTTAGTTCTAGTCTGACTAACTTACCGAGTACTCTTTGCAATGCTCTCTCTTCTCTTGGCCTTGGTTCACATATTCGTAATATGAAGGGGTCGCATTACAACATCTTTAAGACCTCTTCTATAATCTGCCGTTCTGAGAGGCTTATGATTCTTACTTGGTGAAAGTAGAATAGCTAAAAGTAAGTGGAAGGAGCTAGAAAGAAGAAGAAATACTCTGGTAAATGTAGAAAAGATCAATGCACATTCGGCCCATAAGGTGGAATTTTGGCAGGTCAATTGATTTTTTGATAGCTTTTTGGAATACTCTCCTGCCACACGAAGCAAAAACAGTACCTGCAACCTTCTGTTTCCTCTTATCTCAGAGGTGTGCTGCCTGTGCAGCAAGGCTGACAGGCTCCTGCATCCTGCAATGTTCATCAGGTTAAAGTTAATGAGAAACTAGCCTTGGCAGGAAGCCCACTGACACCTCAACTCTCCCAGTCACTGGCAAGGAGCACAAGTCAGTCTTTCGACAAGCTCCATCTTGTGAAGACGGAGGGCTACTTGGCTCTATCAGCTGCCCACTGACACAGAGCAGCTGAGAAGCCATCATGCTGGACACTGCAGACATTATCCAGAGTAAATCCTGTGTGCTTCTTTTTTTTTTTTTTTTTTCCTAGCCCACGACATTACTAGGTTTGTCTGGCTTTCCATAATTTGGTGTTGGTGTTTCTTTCCCACTAAAAAGAAAGGTTGTGACCTATAGGTTCAAGACATAGCTAGGTTGAAAACATAAATTTGTTTGGCCTCCACAGTGTTTTTATAACATTTAAGTCAACATTAGAAAACTGAAATATTTCGCATAAAAAGCCAATTTTTCAGATTCTCCTATAAAACACTAAAGGTCTGGCAACACGGCACCACTCACAGTATTTTACAGCTGAGTAATAGGCTGCCCTTTTTAGAAGAAACATAATCTCTAAGCTACCCTAGACCCCACCACTCCTTATTGTATCTCTGGCAAAAAGTCTAATATCTATGACCATTTAAACTTGTTTCAGATAGACAGATGGACGGATAGATAGATAGATAGATAATTTTTCATAGAGAAATACTTTGGTGGCTACATTTCTAACAAAAGTGGGAATAAAGAGAAGAAAAGCCTGGTCCCAGAGAGCAGCAGGTTTCAGAAAAATAGATTATCCTGTGATTATTATTGTCGCATGTTCTCATTGTTCTATGATGTTGCAAACCTTTCCTGCATGCTTAAAATGCAAACCTGACCTATTTTACTCATTAACATTCCCTGCCTCATCCCTGCAGACATTGAGTTTGTCATCACTTTATGAAAAGAAGAACTGAGCTATGTGCAGAGTCCAGTAAAAAGTCAGGGAACAGGAAAAGGAGCAGCATGTTGCAGGGCAGTGATTTTCAGCCCTCTTGAAATGAAAGTTCCTTTAAAGTAGAAAAAAATGACTGGGTGAAAAAAATACTTCTATCAGTTATCTATTGAGAGGCACAAGGTTGAGTAGTCAAGCACAGTTTAAGAGCCAGCCAGCCTTAGTTATAGACAAACAGTCCAACTACTTTACCTGTCAGCCACTGTTTCTCACATGGAGATAATAATTTTTGTCTCCCATGGTTCTTATGATACTCAAAGAAAAGTCACAAATAAAGCACTAAGTGCAGTACCTAGCACATAGTAAATGTTCAGTAAGGGCTATTACCATTGCTATTACTGATTGATAAAATGCATCATGACAAAAAGCTGGTAAGGGTATATTATAATTTTGAATGTATTTATTTTTGAAATGAATTTGTTTTTTATCAGTCACAGTGGCATCTGTATATGAAAAAATAATAGCAAATATATTTCTCAGATATTATGTATTCAGTCCACAGACAACACTTAGTGCTTAGGGAGTTCTAAGCTTTCTTCCTCACTGCTTTCTAGGGCTTGAAGATCTAAGAGAGAGTGGAAGAGGAAAGGCCACTGTTCAAATCTAACACATCAGGCTAAAATTATGTTTCTTCTGCTTAACTGCATTCCTCCTTGGGAGGAAAGAAAGTGGAGGTGGAAGACAGAGAACAAGGGAGGAAAAAAAGAAAGCATCTTTGAGCAAGTTACTGGACAGCTTTGAGTCTCGGACCCATGAAGTGAGGATTCCAAATTAGAGCAGTGGTTAATCAGTGCTTCAAGGAGCCCTGAGTTTCACAGAATCTCCCTTAGGGGCAGGGAACAAGGGGCAGGCAAAGTGGGTTGACTTCAGACCCTGCCCTGCTTTAGGCAACAGTACATCTTTTATAAAGATTCCAGGTAACATGTCGTGTGCAAAAAGTGTTCCAATGCTTACCAATTGTTTAAAACAACTGGGGTGGTTAATCTTGAAAGCAGTCATTCTCAAATTTGGCTGTATATTGGACTCACCCTTTGGAGCTTTGAAAATACTGATGCATACGATGTAACCATGAATTCATTTCACTGGTTTTGGGTGTGGCCTGGAAACCCAGATATGCAACTCTCTATTGATTTCCACGTGTAGCTGACATCAAGGACCATCACCCTAGAGTCTTCCCCCAGATCTGACAAACACTATTTCTAAATGAATGGCTACAAAATCACCCAAGGAGGGGATACTAATGGAGGCATAATTAAATTCTTCTTACCCTTTGGTATATTTCTAATGAGACTATCAGCCAAAATAAGGCCAAGGTAGTCCACTAGGCTGCTCTCAAGTCTATTCAATGTAAAGTTCCCATGAAACATAAGGAAATAAAAAATTTGATCCCTTAAAGAGCAGGATTTCAGGAGAGTTCACATTGTTAAAGAATGCCAGTGATGTTTACTTATTTTCTTGAAGATCCGATTTCTAACTACTTCCCTTCATGGAGATAATAAAAGAAAATGCAAATGCAGTTTTTAAAGCATTATTTAAAACCAAGGCCCACGTTAAAAACCTCATCACAGCCTGGATTTCCATACACAGTCCATCAAGAGAACCAAAGTCCTATTTTTCCCAGGAAAAAAAAAAAAACAACATTTTTTACTCACTTGATTTTGAAAGTTCCTTTGCAAGGCTACTTATCTATGACTCTGTGACAGGTTTGCAACATTCAGTTCATAGAATAGAAAGGTGTATTCAAAGAGTGCTACCAGAACCTGGTTTGAAACGTTTGAACAAGACAACACAGCAAGTTAGCTATGATCACCTAAGAGAAATTAGCTGACATAAATACATGTTGACATGAGCTTACGTCATTTAAAGTCTTTGAAAAATAGAGATTATACTATTTTTCTTCCCCTACTTTTGCTAAGCTAAACCCACCAAGCTCATTTTCTAACTAACCCAGAGGGAGAGAGATGTCACCTGATGCCTTTTTTGGTGAATAGAAGAAAAGAAGCAGACTCATAGAATTCCTAACTTTGAAAAAAATACATATTGATTGATTGGTCAAAGGATACTTTGGTTGCATTTTCTTCAAGAAGTTATATATTCACAAGCCATTATCTAAGTCAGTGCTATCCAATGGAAATATAATGTGAGCCACATTTTTTAAACTTTCTAGTAGTCAGATTAAAATGTAAAAAGAAAAGGTGAAGTTTCAATATACTTTAACCCAATGTATAAGAAATACTACCATTTCAACAGGTAGTCAACATTGAAAATGTATTAGAAATGGGTGAAGTATGCAACATATGATTTATATCTCAATAAAGTTGTTAAAATGAATAGAGATATCCTATATTTTTTATACTAAGTCTTGAAAATCTTAAGTGTATTTTGCACTTAGAGCACGTCTCAATTTGAACTTGGTATATGCATTTCAAGAGTTTAATTGCCACACATGGCCAGTGGCTACTGTACTAGATATATGATTTAAATGACTTATGTACAGAATCAGGACTTATGTGAAGGGACTATCATGCACATTTAGTTCACCTCCTCTTTATTTCACTCTCTGACCCACGATGTCTTCAGTAAACAATATTTAAAATAGTCAGGACTATAAAGACACATAAAGGAGTTTTCAGTAAGGTCAATGTCTTAGTCAAAGAAACAAATCGAGGAAAGTCTAATCAAAGAAAAAGGTTAACCAGCAAATGTAATATTAAATGAACTCAAGTTTGTATTTGTTTTGTTTTGTTTTTTTTTAACTCACAATTATTCAACATTATAAAGGGGTAAACTAATAAACTCAGTTTCATTTTTTTTTAAGACCATTTTCAAAAAAGTATCTCCCATGTACTTGCCATTTATAAATCAATACCTCAATACAAGCCAATGGCTTCAGGAGAAACATCTTTGGCTCTAGCTCATGATCCTCACTCTTGTCTTCTCTTTTCCCTTCCCTTCTGTTTATGAATCACAAAATCCAAACAGAACCAATCTGGAAAGACTAGAGGGCCTTCCTTGGAGACTATGGAAAGGGGAATCTTTCCAGACCAAAAAAAAAAGAAGAAGAAGAAATGATGTAAACATGTAGACATACCTTTGGTCCAGCTGTATCTTAAAAAAATCCTTGAAAAAGAGACTGGAAACTCCTTCCTGCAAAAATTAGTGTATTCTACATTGGCTTCCAGTTTTGTTAGTAAACATTTCTTCACAATGAAGTCTCCTGAGTCAATATCCTGGAAGGGAACCTAGGCAGTATCTTGGTGCTCAGAGAAGTTGATGTCCTTTTACTCTAAGAAGAATGATTTTTCTTCCAGGAAGTAATTAATAGAAATGAGCCAATGCATTATGGCATTTGGAGATACTTTCATCTGGTTTGTAAATTCTGCACTATAAATATAAATTTAATATAAGGAATAAAAGTGCAGTAAATAAGAGCACTACACATTTCTAAAGAAAATAAGGAATCTTACCTCAATGTACACAATCTGCAATTGTTTTGGGCAGAGGTGGGCTCCATTACATTTTACACAGGTTATTAAATAAGAACTAAGAGATAATATCTACCCACAGTTGTGCCACACATCCAAAAAGAAAGGCCTGACTATTGCTTTTAGTAGTGACATCCTTGCAGGTGACTGCCATAGATACAGGAAAGTTTGTCTCTTCCTTTCTAGGTCTTCATGTAAAGAATGGAGATAGGAAAGAGGAGAAAGCAGGAATTTCTTGTGTCTGTTTCTCAGCTTCTCTCTCTGACCCCACTTCTTTTTACCATCTATCTCCATTGGCTCCCCCTGATGTATCTAGATTTATATTAATGTGTTACTGAATGATATAAGCTCCTCTCTATTCTTAATCTAAATTCAGAGTAATGAAATGTTTTAATTTTTTACCTTTTTTATGTTTATCTACTGAAGTCATATTTTCCTCTTCCAGTCATCTTAAGAGCCCTTGAAGTACAGATGTTTTTAACTTTCAGGCCACATGACTATGTATTTGACATTCTGAAAGTCCTTCCAGTTCTTTTTTATGTCACAGAATAAATATAAAGACCACTGAGCAGCTTTGAGGAAAAATAGTGATCAATTAATAAGCTATCTTTCAGAAAGCAAAACAAGTTCATTATAAGAGAAAGCAAGTCACCGCGTAGAACTGCCTCCTCTTTCACAAGAATGGATTTTAAGAGTCTTAGAGAAAACACAGTCTAAAGATCACTGCGGGGAAGCCACAGCTTATCCCCTTATGAAATCCTGTGTCCTTCCAACATTCCACGCTTATCACAGAAAGTGTTAATTCAATGTCAAATCAATGCATATTTATAAAGCTCTATACTACATGCATGACACTGTACCAGGTACAAAAGCTACACCATCAAACAAACCCAACATCATTCCAACCATTAAGGAACATCATAGTCCAGTAGGAAAGACAATTGTTAAGCAGATGATTGGAATTCAAGGTCTGATCGCAGTACAACATGAAAGAATTAGGGCACATCGACCAAATACAAAGGGGATGGAAGCAGACTAGTGTAGGGGGTTAATGAAGGTCTGTTAAAACATAAGCTGAGCCTTGGAAGGCATTTAAAACTTTGCTAAATAATGTGGGTAGGAGGGTTGAGAAGCATCCCAAGTGGGTGGACTAGTAAGCACCGGCAAAGGCTTTAGTTGCTGGTGTGGTGATTTAGAGGAGCCAAAAGGAGTTGCAAAAAGAGTAGACAGAACTGAGAGAGTGGTGGTGGGTGCAGGGAGCCCTGAAGACTTTCCTAAAGGATAAGAAAGCCTCTGGCCTTTACCCTAATTCTAACAGCACACTTCTGGAGGGTTTTAGACAGAGAAGAGATGCCACTAGGCCTGCATTTTTAAAAGACCACTCTAGCTGCTGGGTGGAGAACAGAGGAGAGAACAAGGATGGCTGCAGGGAGACCAATTAGGAGGCTAAAAAGGCACTGGTTTTCAAGGCCAAGTCTTCAGTTGTAAACTGGTCCCCATGTGAATGAAGCCTGCCAGTACATTTCCGTTAGCCCACACACCATTTTAAGAAGTAGATGATTCCATATACAAATTTGCACTTTCAGCATCTCACAAATGATAGCCTTGCAAACCATAGGCTCACTTAAATACACAAGGAGGCCATGCCAGCCTCCTTCAGGCAGGGCATGCCCCACGACCCTCCCCACATCACCCCACCAGCTCTCAAGGTCCCCACCTCCCCTGGCCCCTTCACTAGCTAGCCCTTATAGAAACTATGATAAGTGACCTCCAGCTGAGAACCATCTACTGATCTATCTCAAGATAAGGAAGTGTAAAAGAGTCTGTTCTTCAAGGGCTGAAGAGGTGAGCAGCCCATCCCTAGGGCTGCCCTTTACTGAGAACCAAGAGACAAGGAAGAAATCACAGACTCTGGATCCTGAGATAAGCTGAAAACATTAGTTCAGGGATGATGCAAAGAAGCATCTGAAGAATGACATCCAAAACATGATTCAGTCTGCTTATCAGAGTATAATACTGAAAAACCACAAATCAAATTGTTAGAAAGAATGAATAACAGCCAGTATTTGATAGCACAATAGGGTGACTATAGTCAGTAACAATTTAATTATACCTTTAAAAATAACAAAGTGTATAATTGGATTGTTTGTAACACAAAGGATAAATGCTTGGGAGAACAGGTACCCCATTTTACAGCATGTGATTTTACACATTGCATGCTTGTACCAAAACATCTCATGTACTCCACAGATACATATACCTACTATGTACCTGTGACAGCCAGGTTCCCATTAGCAATCAGAATAGTCAGTTTCCACTAACTATTAAAATTCTGATGAATGTATAAGTTAAACATTAAAGAACTGGAGAAACTGGTGCCTGAGTACAAGGGCTGGAATATGAAAACAAACCCATTCAGACCCCCGCCTTGGCTTCTTAGACCCCAAAGTCTTTCTCAGACCCTGAAGTCTGATGGAACGATAAAAGCACTCTTGCGGATATACCTTGTACCAGGGCCCACTTTAGATTAAGAAACTTTCCACGGCTCTAGAGAAAACTTTCCAGACCCCGGACCCTAAAGATTAGATATAGATTGAATGAAACACTCCTGCTTGTAGGTGCACTCCTGCACATAGGCATGAAGCTTAATATGTATATAAGCACTAGAAAAAACCTTGTAATTTTGAGTTGGTCTAGTGAGTTACTCCAGCCTTCTCCCTGTAACCAGTTGCGGAAATAAACTGCCTTCTTTCCCAGTCTGTCTGTATCTCATTATTGGATGGTGAGAACAACCAGCTGGACCTCATTCTGTTCAGGAACTTACCCACAAAAATCAAAAATTAAAAAAATAAATAAAAAGAAAGACCATATATCAGTTACATCAACAGAAGTCAATTTTAAGCAGCTTCAAATAGAAACCTTTGAGTGGAATGGTGGTTGGGGGAAGACTTCCATATGTTAGCAAGACAGATAAAATAAATAGATGCCAAACAGCTGCCAGGACCACTCAACTTTTTCTCTTGGAGAGAAATTTTTAGACTCATGAGGCTGGACAGGCACTCCAAGCACTCTTTGAAACAAGACAAACCCAAAGGTACCCCAGTTTCCAGGTGCTGTGTTTGCATATGGTCTGCTGATATATTTGGGTAATATATCTATTGCTCAAAATCATGGCATATTTTGTTATACTTTTTATTTGAAACATGATTTCCTTATAGAGTTTTTGTTGTTCATTATGTGGTTCACATTTGTCTTTCTTTTCTCATCTTCAAGGAAGACACACATTCTTTTTTCACTACATCACTTGGTTCACCACATCACTTACTGGAGGAGGGGTAGTTCTAGCGGCAGAAAAACAAAGGTTTATGATTATAGGCTTTAGCAAAGTGCAAGTGGCACCATTTCTTAGCTTTTCTAGCCCCAGGAATGAAATAAGCAGAAGGACACTTTCTCCTTAATTTCTTCCTTTTTATTTCATTCAGGAGTACATTTGGCATTAAGATGAAAAGTTTACCAAAGATCTAAGAAAGAGATGAGGCTTCAATGAGTCATTTAACCTGGCAGTCCTTCTATATGAGTTCCACTTCCTTTAACATCTGAATGTCACTGCATTAAAAGACAGTAGAATTTCTCCCAGTTATTTATTGGACAACTTGCAAACTGCCACATCACTAGATTTTGTAGGAGATTTAAGTTTTTCTCTTCTATTTATTGACTCATCTTTCTCCTCCTGCATTCTCATCTCTAATTTCTTGTTTCTGCATTATAAAGATAGCTGATAACATTTGAAAGTTTAATAATTAATTCAACAAACATCCTGACAATTTACTGCATACAAGCCCTGCATACAGAAATCTTGCTTTCTAGTCGGGGAGTGATGCAGCAAGAAACAAGAAAAAAATTTAAAAATGTGGTTATTGCTGTAATAGATGTATGACATGGAAATGCAAACAGCCAGGGAAAACCAGATGGTCAGAGAGTCCGGAAAGCATCCTAAGACTATGAACTCTTTTAGATATGACAGTTATGTAAAACTGGTAATCAAGAGAATAAAATGTAACCTTTCCATGTTAGGCTTGGACATTGCTTAACAAGCTCACACAAAGATTACTTAACTCCACAAGAATTCAGTGTTTGATATTGCTATTTACTAGTTCATGAGAGAATTTACTTGTTAACCTAAGACCTATACATCTTACTAAAAAGATAAATGCAAGGTTACAGTACTATTACCCTATAGGACTAAGTCATTTTGTTCTAATTAAAATTTATTTCAAAATGCCTTTTGTGGTGGACATTACGTTGTTCCTTTAAACATTCTTTGACCCAGCTTTACCATCTTCTTATTATTTTCATTAATTAATGAGCTGAATAAAACCTTTGCCGTACATTCATTATATATTTGTATGAGACTCATGTTTTTACTTTCTGAGTATTATACTTTGGCAAAGTAAGTCTTTAAGGATGAATAAGAGTCTATCAAGAAGTCATATATTCCTTCTTTTAAACATTTTCCCCAAAATATTACACATAAATGGGGAAATAATAAACTAATAAGTTAAAATAAAACAGTTCATTTCCCCACCCTCCCTACCTGGGCTTCCCAGAAGCAATTAACTAAATTAGCTGGCTCTGTACTTTAACTCTCTAGTGGTTAGCTCACTAACGCTTATTTTTAGTCTTATATTACTCTCATCATTTACCTTTTTGGGATATTGTCTATTCACTCACTCTGTAAAATATAAGAATTTAGCTTATTTGCAAAATCCACTTCCCCTCCAAACTTTGTTCTTCTATGGTTAAAATTACATGTAAAATTACAACTAAAGTTAGAGTTGTAATGTTAAGTAATATGTCTAAACCTTTGTCTTGTTTCATTAACCTCAGAGGAAAAATCTTCTCATTTTGTTAAAGTAGTCATACCTCCACCTTTCCTTCACCGCTTATTCCCTTGACACCATCTACCATCAAGTACCTTTGTTTCCATTGTCAAGCTTTGTAACATTCGGTTAACGTGACTGTGAGTTTTCTTTATAGGTTAATTCTAAAGTTGAAAACCAGTTTATTATGACAATATAAATTATTCATTGGAGAACCAGGTAGTATGCTAAGATGATGTTTATTTATCTTTGAATGCAATGTCATAACCTCTAAAGCAAAAAAGTCAAATCCTTTTTTGTTTTGTTTTTTAGAGATGGAGTCTCGCTCTGTCGCCCAGGCTGGAGTGCAATGGCGCTATCTCAGCTCACTGCAAGCTCCACCTCCCAGGTTCACACCATTCTCCTGTCTCAGCCTCCCGAGTAGCTGGGACTACAGGCGCCCACAACTACGCCCAGCTAATTTTTTGTATTTTTAGTAGTGACGGGGTTTCACCATGTTAGCCAGGATGGTCTCGATCTCCTGACCTCGTGATCCGCCCACCTTGGCCTCCCAAAGTGCTGGTATTACAGGCATGAGCCACCACGCCTGGCCTCAAATCCCTTTTTTTAAAGCTATATCTGTTGCTCAAAGTTATGGCACATTTTGTTATTTTCTTATGCTTTTTATTTGAAACATTATTTCCTTATATAGTTTGTGTTGTTCATTCTGTGGTTTACAATTGTCTTTCATTCTCTTTAGAGAACACATGCATGCTTTTTCACTTCAATTTGTTCATGTGAAAAAATTCTTTATTGGTAGTAAGTGCTTCATTTTTCTTCTTGAGTGTATCCTTCTTGAAGTTCTTGGACTCTATACTTTTAACCAAATACTTACTAGAACTGCTAATAATTATCTTCAACTTTTTTGGGAGGCTTTCATTAGTGTCACTGTTTCTTAATTTATTAAAATAATTATTTCATAAAATTCATTCTTAATTTCAAAGAATAGATTCAAAAAGGATATAGAGGGGCCTAAAAATCTTGATGCTTTAAAATGCCCTTATTATGACCTCACTTTGAGTTTGGTTTTATCTTAGTTTGTTCTCACACTGCTCTAAAGAAATATCTGAGACTGGGTAGTTTACAAAGAAAAGAGATTTAATTGGCTCATGATTCTGTAGGCTGTACAGAAAGCATGGCAGCATCAGCTCAGCTTCTGCGGAGGCCTCAGCAAACTTACAATCATGACAGAAGGAGAAGGGGGAGCCAGAACTTCACATGGCTGGAGCAGTAGGAAATGAAAGAGAAAGGAGGTGCTACACACTTTTCAACAACCAGATCTTGTGAGAACTCACTCACTATCACAATAACAGTACCAAGGTGATGGTGCTAAATCATTCACGAAGGATCCACCCCCATGACTCAATCACCTCCCATCAGGCCCCACCTCCAACACTGGGGATTATAATTCCACATGAGATTTGGGTGAGGACACAGATTCAAACCACATCATTCTGTCCCTGGAACCTCCAAAATCTTATATCATTCTGACATATCAAAATACAATCATGCCCTCCCAACAGTTCACCAAAGTCTTAACTCATTCTAGCATTAACTCTAAAGTCAAAAGTCTAATCTGAGACAAGGCTAGTTAGTCCCTTCTGCCTATGAGACTGTAAAATCAAAAACTAGATACTTCCAAGATACAGTGAGGGTACAGGCATTGGGTAAATACTCCCATTCCATAAGGAAGAAATTGGCCAAAAGAATGAGGCTACAGCAAAATTGACAAATGGGATCTAATTAAACTAAATAGCTTCTGCACAGCAAAAGAAACTACCATCAGAGTGAACAGGCAACCTACAGAATGGGAGAAAATTTTTGCAACCTACTCATCTGACAAAGGGCTGATATCCAGAATCCACGATGAACACAAACAAATTTATAAGAAAAAACAAACAACCCCATCAACAAGTGGGCGAAGGATATGAACAGACACTTCTCAAAAGAAGACATTTATGCAGCCAAAAGACACATGAAAAAATGCTCACCATCACTGGCCATCAGAGAAATGCAAATCAAAACCACAATGAGATACCATCTCACACCAGTTAGAATGGCAATCATTAAGAAGTCAGGAAACAACAGGTTCTGGAGAGGATGTGGAGAAATAGGAACACTTTTACACTGTTGGTGGGACTGTAAACTAGTTCAACCATTGTGGAAGTCAGTGTGGCGATTCCTCAGGGATCTAGAACTAGAAATACCATTTGACCCAGCCATCCCATTACTGGGTATATACCCAAAGGATTATAAATCATGCTGCTATAAAGACACATGGACACGTATGTTTATTGCGGCACTATTCACAATAGCAAAGACTTGGAACCAACCCAAATGTCCAACAACGATAAACTGGATTAAGAAAATGTGGCACATATACACCATGGAATACCATGCAGCCATAAAAAATGAAGAGTTCATGTCCTTTGTAGGGACACGGATGAAACTGGAAACCATCATTCTCAGCAAACTATCGCAAGGAAAAAAAAACAAACACCACATGTTCTCACTCATAGGTGGGAATTGAACAATGAGAAAACATGGACACAGGAAGGGGAACATCACACTCCGGGGTCTGTTTTGGGGTGGGGGGAGGGGGGAGGGATAGCCTTAGGAGATATACCTAATGCTAAATGATGAGTTAATGGGTGCAGCACACCAACATGGCACATGTATACATATGTAACAAACCTGCACATTGTACACATGTACCCTAAAACTTAGAGTATAATTTAAAAAAAAAATTGCAAAAAAAAGAAAAGAATGAGGCTGCAGGCCGTATGCAAGTCCAAAACCCAGCAGGGCAGTCATCAAAACTTAAACCTCCAAAATAATCTTCTGTGACTCCATGTCCCACATCCAGGGCATGCTGGTCCAAGGGATGGGCTCCCAAAGCCTTGGTCAGCCCTGCCCCTGTAGATTTGCAGGGATCAGCCCCTGCAGCTGCTCTCATGGACTGGCATTGAGTGCCTGTGGCTTTTCCAGGAACACGGTGAAAGCTGCTGGTGAATCAACCATTCTGGGGGCTGGAGGGTGTTGGTGCTCCTCTCACAGTTCCACTAGGCAGTGCCCCAGTGGGGACTCTCTATGGGGGATCCAGTCTCACATTTCTCCTCTGCACTGCCCTAGTAGAGGTTCTCTGTGAGGGCTCTATCTCTGCAGCAGGTTTCTGCCTGGATATCCAGGCTTTTCCACACATCCTCTGAAATCTTGGCAAAGGCTCCCAAGCCTTAACATTTGCATTCAGTGCACTCACAGGCTTAACAACATGTGGAAACCACCAAGGCTTACAGTTTGCACTCTTTGAAGCAGTGGCCTGAGTTGTACCTGGCTAGAGCCAAGGCTGGAGTAGGAGGATCTGGGAGGCAAAAAGCAGTGTCCTGAGGTCGCTCAGGGAAATGGGGCCTTGGAACTGGCCCATGGAACCATTCTTCCCTCCTAAGCCTCTGGGCCTGTGATGGGAAGGGTTTCTTCAACTGTTTCTTAAATGCCTTCCAGTCCGTTTCCCCATTGTCTTGGCTGTCAGCATTTGTCTTCCTTTCAGTTATGTAAATTTCTGCAGCCTATTTGAATTATTCTCCTAAAAATTGACTTTGATTTTCTACTACAGGGTCAGGCTGCAAATTTTCCAAACTTTTACACTCTGCTTCCCTTTTACATTTAAATTCCAGTTTCAGGTCATTTATTTGCTCATACATAAGGACTTAGGCTGTTAGAAGCAACCAGGCCAAATCTTGAATGTTTTGCTGCTTAGAAATTTCATCCACCGGATACCCTAAATCATCACTGTCAAATTCAAAGTTCCACAGATCCCAAGGACAAGGGCACAATGCAGCCAACCTCTTTACTAATGCATAGCAAAAGTGACCTTTTCTCTGGTTTCCAAAAGTTCCTCATTTCTATCTGAGACCTCCTCAGCCTGGACTTCGCTGTCAATATCACTATCAGCATTTTGGCCACAAGAACTTAATAAGTCTCTAGGATGTTCCAAATATTCCCTCATCTTCCTGTCTTTTTCTGAGCCCTCCAAATTGTTCCAACTCCTGCCCATTACCTAGTTCCAAAGCTGCTACGTTTTCAGATGCTTTTATAGCAATGCCCCACTTCTTGATACCAATTTTCTGTATTAGTCTGTTCTCACATTGTTGTAAAGAAATACTTGAGACTGGTTAATTTATAAAGAAAAGAGGTTTAACTGGCTCACAGTTCTGCAGACCGTACAGGAAGTATAGTGGCTTCTGCTTCCGGGGAGGCCCCAGGAAACTTTCAAGTATGGCAGAAAGCAAAGGGGGAGCCAGAATTTCACATGACCAGAGCAGGAGGAAGGCAGGGAGGTGCTACACACTTTTAAACAACATATCTCATGGGAACTCACTCACTATCATGATAACAATACCAAGGTGATGCTGCTAAACCATGAGAAACTGCTCCCATGATTCAATCATCTCCCACCAGGCCCCACCTCCAACACTGGGGATTACAATTCCACATGACATTTGGGTGGAGACAGAGATCCAAACCATATCAGGCTGAAAATAGCTTTTTCCTCAGAAAATGAAGGAAACTGCTCCACTGCTTGCTGCCTCTAGTATTGTTGATAAAAAGTTTGATACTAGTTTGAAGATTATTTCCTTGCATATGAGGTATACTTCTCTCCCTGTTACAGAATGTCTTAAGCTCCTATTTTCTTAGAGTTTTGAAAATTGAAGACAATGCAACAGGGATATAGAAATGGGTTCCTTCCCATTTACTTCACTATGCTCTGGATATGTAAATTCAAACACTTCTCTTCCTTCAGTGTAAATAATATTTTAAACTTTCTTTGATAATCAACCCCTCCCCCATTTATCTTGTATCTCTGAGGGTCTTTATAATAAGAGGAAAAACCACTGCATTGATCTACCAGATTTGTCTTTTTACCCAATGAGACAAACAATAAATCTTAAGGCTTAAGGATAATAATCTTCTTTGACCCTGTGTCCTGCCCTCTGCCAGGTTAAGGGTTGGGCCTTCAAGGCCCTGAGCCCAGGCTTTGCTGTGAGCAGCCCACATATCAGTTCTCACATGCAGGGGTCAGGTGCCTGCAGCTCTCGCAGTCTGGGAAATCACACTTTGGTGCCTCCATAGTTCTGGGGTCTTGGGGTGACCTTGCTCCCATGGCTCTACTAGACATTTTCCTAGCTGGGACTCTCTGTGGTGACCCGGTCTCGTGTTTGTTAGGCACCGTCCTAGTAGGGACGCTCTTGCCTTCCCGCCCCTGTGGCAATTCTCTGCCTGGGTCCTGAGACTCTCCAAGGCATCCTTTGAAATTTAGGTAGAGGCAGCCAAGCCTTCACTTACATGTACTCCATAAGCCTGCAGAATTGGCACCACATGAACACCACCAAGATTTTTGGTTTATACCTTCTGGAGTGGAGTCACAGCTAGGGTGGTCAAGTAGCAGTGTGCTGGAATTCAGGAAGCAGAGACTTGAGGAAGCCCTGGGCAGCAAGCCTCAAGATTCCACAGCCTCCTGGGCCCCCCCTCTTAAAACTGTTCTGCCCCAGGGCCCTGGCACTCTTGGCATGTGATGGAAGTGGCAGCCTCAAAGATATGTGAAATGCCTTCCAAGTCATTCTTTGATTCTCTTTTATGAATAGCATGGGGCTAACTTCTATCCATACTAATCTTCTTATCAAAGGGTCACTTGGCCAGGCACACCCTTGGTTTTCTCTCCTAAACATGCTTTTTTATTCTTTATATTACTAGGCTGAGAATTTTCCAAATTTTTATGTTCTGCATCATATTTGATTATAAATTCTGTCTTTAACTCATTTTTTCTATTCTCATATTTTACTATATAAGCAGTTGAGAGAAGCCATGCAGCACCCTAAACACTCCGCCTAGAGATATTCTCCACTAAATTTCCTAGTTCATAGCTCTTAAATTTTGCCTTCCACAAAGCAACATGATATGGAAACATCTCGGCCAGTTCTTTGCCAGTGTATAAGAAGGATGTCCTTTTCTTCTGTTTCCAATAAGATATTCCTCACGACCATCTACGACCTCATCAAACTGGTCTTTCAGCATCCACATTTCTACCAACCTTCTGTTCATGACTACTTAGATCATCTTTAAGACAGCCTTTCTCGACATCTCTCTTCTTCTGAGCCCCTACCAGAAGCACCCTTAATGCTCAGTTCACAGCAATACGGGCTTTTTCCAGAATTAACTTTATAACTGTTTCAGCCTCTACCCATTACCGACTTCCTAATCCACTTCCACATTTTCAGCTCTTTATTATAGCAACAACTCCACTGCTCTGGTTCTGGTTTCTATCTTGTAATTTTGTACTGCTGTAACAAAACAGCACAGACTGGGTAATTTATAAACAGAAATTTATGTCTGACAGTTCTGAAGACTGAGAAGTACAGGATCAAGGTACTGGCAAGTTTGTTGTCAGGTGAGGGGTGTCCTGTCTGCTTCCAAGAGGAAAGCTGCATCCTCCTGAGGGCAGGAATGCTGTGTCCTCACATGGCAGATGAGTGAAATGACAGAGAGCACTTCCTTCAACCTCAAGCCCTTTTACAAAGGTGTCAATCTCATTCCTGAGGGATGAAACCTCATGATTTAGTCACCTCCCAAAGGCCATTACCCTTTAACAATGTTGCATTGCAAATTAACTTCCAACATGAATTTTGGAGGAGGCATCATCCTTCGAACCATAGCAACTATGTTTTTCTCTTCCATGCTACCAGTTTTCTTCCTAAGTTCAATAGTCATTTCTTATTTTAAAACGGGGGAGTGAAAGTTTCCCTGTGGTTAGGACATAGAGGAATAAGAATAGAATGTGCTCCTGCCCAAACTGTAAGAAATGGTCTTCAACAGACTAATGCATACCTTTCTTTAAAGGTATTAAAGAACTGTGGCTCCAAAGAAGTCTAAGAGGATCAAATTCCAGAGAGACAAAGCATTTCCTAGATGAGCAAGGACACAGCTCTCATAATTGGAGCCAGGTGCTAATATTGGAGGTAAGAGAAGCAGAGAAACAAGCCTACCAGAGAAAGACAGCCTTGTTTAGACTAGAAGAAACTAGCTAACTTTTGATGAACCTATAAGCTGACATATTGAATTTGAACTGTAAAAGCCCAAACTACAAAAATTAATTCAAGATAGACTGCTACCCTAAATATAAAGCTAGAGATATAATATTTCCAGCAGAAAACAGGAGAATATCTTTGTGACTTGGAGTCAAAGATTTCTGAGGTAGAACAAAAAAAGCAGAAATTATAAAATAAAAATGTAAATAAACTGGACTTCATCAAAATTAATAACTCCTGTTCTTCAGAAGACAACATTTAAAAAATGAAAAGTCAAGTAACAGACTGGATGAATATATCTACGCTATATATAAATGACATAGAACTATATCTGGAATATTAAAAGAGCTCTTACAACCCAATAATAAAAAGGTAAACAATCCAATAAAAATTGGGCAAAAGACTTGAATAGACTTTTCACAACAGATATACAAATGGCCAATAAGTACAACTGAAAGTACTTAACATTATTAGCCAACAGGGAAATGCAAACTAAAACAAGAAGAAATCTTATTTTATATCCACTATGGTTAAATTTAACAAGGCTAACAATACCAAGTATTGACAAGAAAATAGAATAATTGGATCTTTCAAATATTGCTTATGGAAGTGAATCACCTTGGAGAACCATTTGGTGGTTCCTTCTAAAACTAAATGTATACCTACCCCACATCACAGAAATTTCACTCATTGATATTCACTCAAAAGAAGTGAAAACTTATGTCTACACAAAGACATGCTCACAAATGTTTCTAATAGTGTAATTCTTATTATTCCCAAATGGGAAACAGCCAGATGTCTATCAAAAGGAAAATGAATAAGCAATTATAGTATATTAATTGAATGATGCTGGTGAGAAGTAAAATGGAATGACCTACTTTTACACAAGACAACATGGATGAATCTCAAAAACACACTGAATAGAAGAAGCCAGAAACAATAGAATATATCCCATAAGACCATGTATGTGAAGTTTTGGGTTGTTTTGTTTTGTTTTGTTTTGAGATGAAGTCTCGCTCTGTTGCCCAGACTGGAGTGCAGTGGCACGATCTCAGCTCACCGCAACCTCTGCCTCCTGGGTTCAAGTGATTCTCCTGCCCCAGCCTCCTGAGTAGCTGGGATTACAGGCATGCACCATCACACTTGGCTAATTTTTTCTATTTTTAGTAGAGATGGGGTTTCACCATGTTGGTCAGGCTGGTCTTGAACTCCTGTCTCAAGTGATCTGCCCACCTCGGCCTCCCAAAGTGCTGGGATTACAGCCATGAGCCACCATGCCTGGCTCCGTGTATGTGAAGTTTCAAAAGGCAGAACACTGGCGGCCTCAGTGGGAGAGGAAAATATCACGACTGAATGAACTTCATGGTGAGAGAAATATGCTGTACCTTGATTGGGGCAGGGGTTCCATGAGTGTATACCTTTGTCAAAATTCAGATCCCACATTTAAAATGTGTGATTTTATTGTATATTAATAACATCACAGGAAAGTTGAGTATAAAAATAAATGGTGAAAATGAGTTAACTATTTTGCTGTAGCTGGTGAAATTTTCTCCACTGTGTTATAACATGAGTCATCTTGCATGAGGGTTAGGTGACAGAACCACCCATATTTGGCAGGCAGGAATTCTACCACTGAACCAGTAATGCTGCCGGCCCCACCCATATTTGAGACAAAATTCATATATAGTCAAAATGACCCTGGAAAAGTCACTAGAAAAGTGTCCAGTATTTCACAATATAACACAAAAGCATTTCTCTAGGGAAGAAATCAAGTTAAATACCACAAGAAATACTTCACATATTTTTAATCTAGTATAATGCTAAACACATTTTAAATAGTCGAATCTTATTTAATAGAGTGAGATGGTCATGCTATGAAAAGCATGAAGAAACCGAGACCTACTAAATTAGAAAATTTATGCCTCCCATTTGACTGACCATCTGGAATATGTTCCCACTGAGTAGAATGAGAAATACTTAAATTATTTTTCTACATGTTCTCCATGTTCCATTGTATATAGTTGAATTGAGATAAGTTAAATGTGCACAATACATGACACTTTTATATGCAGGTCTGTTTTCCCACAAGACTGTGGCTTCATGGGCACATGGGTGGGGCTGCAGCACTGGCTGGCTTTCTTCAACGATAAGCAAGCAGGAAACTAAGCCCAGGCTTGGGATGCCTCAAAGGGCATAAGGGAAAGACCTTATTTGGTCACCCATCCCACTGATCAGCTGTAACTACCCCCTTGAGAAATTCACTTAGTGTTTTCAGAAAAGAACCCTCTCGTTTTGTCCTGGGGGTAAAATGCTCCTATCATTCCATTAATGAGTAGCAATGGAGAAGAGGAAGAACTGTGCTTCATACCACAGGCCAACATTCAACTTTTGCTCCTTTCCTCCCTCACTTTGTCATAGTTCCCAATTTTAAGACCTTTACTGAGTGGTTTCTTGATTTCTTTATTGAACTATGTTTTATGTAATACAAAATTATATTTTTTTCTATATATCTTTCAAAGATGTTTAAAAATCAAATCTACTGTTTATTCCCCTCCCATTCTTTTTGCCACTTGGGGTTTAACCATTAACTGTACAGAAGAAGGTAGTAACTTTTGCTTGAGTTCAATCCTATAGCTTTTAGTAAAATCTCAGATATCAATGATTTGAATATCATTAAATGTCAAAAATCTTTTCTGGTTGTTCCCTATGTCTATAATCTCTCTTTTAGGTTACACACTTCCTTATATGGAATCTTCGTCTGTCTTTATGTGTGCACATTATCTCCTAAAGAGGAATGAAATTAAAATCATAAACTATTGAGGGTCACAATTCCCTCTATATCACTACAGAAAGGGCTCCTAACTTTTAATCCATGGATGCACTTAAGTGGATCCAAACACATCCTGAAATTGTATACAGGCCATGTGCATTTGCATGTGGTCATCCATTTCTGAGAAAAAAGAAACATATTTTTATTCTAAAAAGTGATTGAGGCTAGCATAATGACTCACACCTATAATCCCAGCATTTTGGGAGGCCGAGGTAGGAGACTGCTTGTGAGCAGGAGCTCAAGAACAGCCTCAGCAATTTGGCAAGTCCCTGCCTCTACAAAAAAATTAAAAATTAGCCAGGTATGATGGTGTGCACCTGTAGTCCCAGGTACTCAGGAAGCTGAGGCGAGAGAATCACTTGAGCCCAAGAGGCAGAGGCTGAAGTGAGCTGCATCTGCACCACTGCATCCTAGGCTGGGCAACAGAGCAAAATCCTATCCCAGAATATAAATAAATAAATATAAAAACACAGATTGAAGGTAATGTATTGGAAGAAAAATGTCAGAAAGGTAGTAACTAGATAAACAGACTGTATTTCGATTTGTGAGGGAGTTTTTACCACCTTTATTATAGTAATGAGTCATTTGTCTATCAGAATGTGTTACATTTTTTGTTACACCGCTAATAATGACATCAAAATGTTATTTGTAGATAAGGCAACACCAGTCAGAAAACTCAATTAGGAAGTCCAGATCCTGAAAACTAACCTTCAGGAATCTAAAATATATTGAAAATGGTCTCTTAAAGGAGTAAGTGTATCAAAACCCAAAAAATCTCCAGGGACATTAACATTCATTTATACCAAAAAAAGTCAAAGTATGGAAACAGTTCCACAGACATTCCATATGTAGCAACATGTTTCAGAAACGCTTCTTGGCTTCTGAAGCCTAATAGATTAAGTCTGGTAGCTTGCTAAACTTTTTCAAAATTCTAATATAAGACCCACAGTCTCTCAAGCAAGGATTTATGCATAGGAGACAAGGAAAAAGTAACTGGAAGCTGGACAGAAAATCTTCTAATCCAGAAATAGCAGATAGGTTTCCATGCTGGTATCAAGTACTGTCTGGAGTGATGTGTTGGAAGGATTCTACAGCTCCTGAGCTAGAATTAATTAGTGATGTCTGTAAGGCTACAGGGAAGAGGGGTAGTAGCACATGTACCAGGTGTCTTATATCCCTGGCCTAGTGAGAGAGGTGAGGGCTACCATAAAGGCAGAAGAGCACAATGATGTATTAGAAAGAAAGGTAATAAGAATGGATATAGTGGGTAGGAGGAAAATATGAATACAAGACATATAAAATATATTACACAGATGGAAAAGTTAGGACAGCAAATAAAAACCCAAACCAAAAACAACTGGAAATTAAAAAATAAGAAAATCCAAAAAGAATCAATAAGTCATGAGAAAATGACCTATTTTAAAACTAAATCCATTCTGCAATATATTTATCCACCCATCCATATCTATTGAGTACTTACTATACGCTATGCAGAGTTGGGAACTAGAAGATACATTCATAAAAACAAGAATTGTTGCCTTGAAGAGCTTGAATTTCATTGAGGGAGACTGACTTGTAAATACAATTATAATGATCACTCTTCATAGTAAGAATTACAATACAAGTTTGCAAAAAATGCAATGGAGTCAAAAGGGAATATGTGACTTCCAGCTCAAGGGAGTCCAGTCAAGCCTCCAGTGAACTGGAACTTTATTATTATTATTTTTTATTATACTTCAAGTTCTAGGGTACATGTGCACAATGTGCAGGTTTGCTACATATGTATACACGTGCCATGTTGGTGTGCTGCACCCATTAACTCATCATTTATATTAGGTATATCTCCTAATGCTATCCCTCCCCCCTCCCCCAACCCCACGACAGGCCCAGTGTGTGATGTTCCCCACCCTGTGTCCAAGTGTTCTCATGGTTCAATTCCCACCTATGAGTGAGAACCTGTGGTGTTTGGTTTTCTGTACCGGAACTTTAAAGATGAGGGGTTTTCGAGATTTGTTGCTGTTGGTGTGAGCACTACAGCAAAAGAACCAGCAAGTGCAAGAGAGAGGTGATTTAAAAGGACATGGCATGTTTCTAATAAATGGAGACATTCACTGAAGCTGGTGGAAAGACTGGGGGAAGAGAAGAGAGGGGAATGAGTAAAAAGACATGACACAAGGCAAATGGAATGGGAAGATGGTGTACTGTAAGTGAAGCTCTTTAGACAGTCCTTCAGGCAGCAGGGGAGCGGGATAGTTTTCAAAGCATTTTCACATTTATGCCACTTTGATCTTCATAACAAATATATGAGATGGGCATAGATTGACTCTTCAATCCAGGCTAAATATGAGGAAAATGCTGGTGTACTGGTGTAAACATTTGAAAAAGTCTCATGAAAAGAAATGGACCAAGAGTGGGTGGGTTTAGCAGCAAAGCAAAGGGGAAGAATAAACAAGTTGAAGGGGGAAAAAAAGGTCTTTCTGTAAGATGTGAATTTCACTGGAGAGATTTTTAACCTATGTTATATTTGCTTAGTTATGAAAACAATATATTTAAAACTGCAGAAAAAAGTTAAAATGGCCATTTCTTGTGTTGGAGAGAGACAGAGAGAAACTGTGTGTGTGTGTGTGTGTGTGTGTGTGTGTGTGTGTGTGTGTGTGTTTTAACCCGGCAAATAAGACCTAAATCTGTACAAGATTTTGAACGCAGCAGCAACTGAGATTTTGTTAAGTTTCAAAGACCTTGGGTAAAATTCAACCCAAGTAAACAAACAGACTGCAAAACATAATGCTCAAGGGGAAAAACACAGATCTTTTTTTCAGTAACTGTCAAAAAGAGACTATTCCTAAAACAGTAACTATTTGAATTAGAAACAAAAAAAAATAAAGGCAAAAACCACATTCTGCTGCTACCAGAATCAGAAGCAGAATCGAAGAACATTAAAGGAAGTATCCTTTAGTTTGGCAGGACCAAAAAACCTTGGGACTAGAACTGGGCCCATTACATGCATTTTAAGGGCCCAATGCAAAGATCAGATGAGAGAATTTTAATCCAACAGGGTGGTTTCAAGAAAGCTACTTGACCTCTCTTTCTTAGTTTCCTCATCCATAAAATGAGAATAACTTTGTAAGAACTATTATTGGAAGTAGGAAGAAAAGAATAGAATATCTCTGGAATATATAAGTGAAAAAATGAGATTATATTTCAGATAAGACATTCTGAATGGCATTTCAAGGTCTCATTGAAGAGAGTAAATGCTAAAATTCAGCAAAAAGTATTTTATAGAATTTATATAAAATTTCTTTAGCTCAATCTGCTTTGACCTTCACATTCCATGTTAGAGTCAACACTTACAGTTTGTCACACATGCTCAAAGAATGCTCCTGTAGCAACATTAATTACTAATTCACTTGAAATTGAATGAAACTGCAATATTTGCTGAGCTCTAGGCTTATCTGATACAAACACTCATTTTACATTCGAGGAAATTGAGATCCAAAAGAGAAGGTAAGTGTCACATCGATATGAAGTGGCCAAGCTCAGTATAACTCCTGACTCAACAGGGACTCAGTGTATACTGGCAGAATAAAGCAATAAAACCAGCTGTAGAAAGTGACGTTCAAAATTATCCAGCCAGATTCTTCTCTTTTCACAAGAAATCATGATTCCCTTCTGCTGATCCTCTCCATGTTTGACACTAAGATATTTATTATCTGAGACAAAATTTCAATGCATGATGAATTTTCAGAGAAATTCAGTGAGGGCTAAAGAAAGTTGTAAGAGAAGGACCATCATAAGACTTGGTAAGGGCCGGGCGCGGTGGCTCACGCCTGTAATCCCCGCACTTTGGGAGGCCGAGGCGGGCGGATCACGAGGTCAGGAGATCGAGACCATCCTGGCTAACACGGTGAAACCCCGTCTCTACTAAAAATACAAAAAATTAGCCGGGCGTGGTGGTGGGCGCCTGTAATCCCAGCTACTCGGGAGGCTGAGGCAGAAGAATGGCATGAACCCAAGAGGCGGAGCTTGCAGTGAGCCGGGATAGCGCCACTGCAGTCCAGCTTGGGCGAAAGAGTGAGACTCCGTCTCAAAAAAAAAAAAAAAAAAAAAAAAAAAAGACTTGGTAAGTTAGCCACAGTTCCGCTGCTGTGCTGTGAGGCACAAAAATATAAAAACCATCATTTCCACATCCAAAGAAAACAGACAAGTACAAAAGTGATCCACATGAATATTAGGACTTCTACAAAACCAGCATAAGATTCACTGATAAGAAAGATCCCAGAGAAGAAAATACTTATCTACAGACACATCACACACAAACACACACACACACACAAACACACCCCTCCAGGTACACCTGACAGTACCTGAAAAATTATTCTTCCAAGTCACCCATCTCCCCACCCTCAGTGATGACTATGAGAAACAATAACAAAACCTACCCACAAAAGCAGTCTCTAATTTCCTTTTGACAACATTACTTGGAGGTGCATAGAGATTTTCTACTTATATAGCAACTTGGTAATAGACTAATTAATTTTTCCTTATAGGAAAAGCACTGTTAGCTTGCACATATTTGCAATTTTTCTGGCTTTTAAATTGTACTGTGGAAATCAAGACTTCAAAAGCTACAGATAAAATAAAGACTGATGCTGAAGTCATGAAGAAAATAATACGACAGTAATACAAATTGTGGAGGTGCACGGAGGAATTCAGCTCTTCGATGTTCCCAAACAATTAACCTTGCTGATATCTGTTAAACATGCTAAATAGTTTCAGGCCACTTTCAATCATTCTGGACAGATAAAGCATAACAATTATATTTAATGACAATTTTTCCTCAACACAATTTCCTATGTAGTAATTAAATGCCTTTTTTTTCTGTTGAGCAACAGGGTCCACTTCATTCCAAGGTTGCAAATTCTTATAATAAAACACTGATATAGTTTTTAGAAAACAACAGCATTTTGCTTTCAGCCAAAATTAAGTGAATACATAGACACACATAGGGACCCTGAGCTGCCACATACAACAGGAAATTAGATTATTCTCTGGCTTAGGAATGTCATTGTTCATATAATCTCTAAAACCCAAAACAGCAGCCTAGCATTTATAGAGGGCTCGTAAGTAACCATCACATATTAGTTTTTTAGCAGCATAATTTTATTTAATCCTTACTTTGTTATCAGGTAGGTATGAGAATCATCCCCATCCTATGAATGAAGAAACTGAGGTCTGGAGCAGTTCAGTGACTTGTCATTGGTCATACACCCAGAAAGTAAAACCATCTGGACTTGAGCCAAGGCAGTCTCACACCAGAGCTCTTTATTAAATGACATTGCCTCTGCAAGTCATATGGGGTTTTCTAAACTGCATATTACACAGTTTCTGGCTCTAGAATTTATATTATGGTCCATGATCTAGAAGGTTCACCCTGAGAAAACAGACTTGTATTAGAGCACTTTAAAGCAATGATCCTTGAGGGCAGAAGTAATATTTGCTATTAACTTTAATGTCACCATAATTATTAGAAAAATACAGAATGCTGGCCGGGCGTGGTGGCTCATGCCTGTAATCACGGCACTTTGGGAGGCCGAGGCCAGTGGATCACATAAGGTCAGGAGTTTGAGACCAGCCTGGCCAACGTGGTGAAACCCCGTCTCTACTAAATATACAAAAAAATTAGCCAGGCATGGTGGTGGGCTCCTGTTATCCCAGCTACTCTGGAGGATGAGGCAGGAGAATCACTTGAACCTGGGAGGCAGAGGTTGTGGTGAGTCAAGATTGCACCAATGTACTCCAGCCTGAGTGACAAGAGCGAAACTCCATCTCAAAAGAAAAAAAAAAGAAAGAAAGAAAAGAAAAACGAGAAATACAGAATGCATTTATTTAACAACCACTGTCCCTAATGGGCTTTTCTGGTAGCCTCTTCAAGAGACTATTTCCTCACAACTGGCCTGGAATAAAGATGGAGTCATACAACTTAGGCAATACCATTCTGGACATAGGAATGGGCAAAGATTTCATGACAAAGACACTAAAAGCAATCATAACAAAAGCAAAAATTGACAAGTGGAATCTAATTAAACTTAAGAGCATCTATACTGCAAAAAAATAAAAAGTAACTTTCAACAGAGTAAACAACCTACAGAATGGACGAAAATATCTGCAAACTATGCATATGACAAAGGTCTAATGTCCAGCATCTACAAGGAAGTTAAATTTACAAGAAGAAAACAAGCAACCCCATTAAAAAGTAGGCAAAGGACATAAATACTTTTCAAAAGAAGAAATACATGTGGCCAAAAAGCATATGAAAAAAAGCTCAATATCAATGATCATTAGAGAAATGCAAATCAAAACCATTACAAGATACCATCTCACACCAGTCAGAATGGCTATTACTAAAAAGTCAAAAAATTACAGATGCTGGTGAGGTTGCAGGGAAAAGGGAACACTTATACACTGTTGGTGGGAGTATAAATTAGTTCAACCACTGTGAAAAGCAGTATGGTGATTCTTCAAACAGCTAAAAGCAGAATTACCATTTGACCCAGCAATCCCATTACTGGATATATACCTAGAGGAATATAAATAATTCTACCATAAAGACACATGTGCATGAATGTTCATTGCAGCACTATTCAGAATAGCAAAGACAATGAATCAACCTAAATGCCCATCAATGGCAGATTGGATAAAGAAAATGTTGTATATATACACCATGGAATCCTATGCAGCCATAAAAAAGAACAACATCATGTTTAATGTGGGAACATGGATGAAGCTGGAGACTATCATCCTAAGCAAACCAACACAGGAACAGAAAACCAAATACCTCACGTTCTCACTTATAAGTGGAAGCTAAATTATGAGAACTCATGAACACAAAGAAGGGAACAACAGACACTGGTGTGTACTTGAGGGTGGAGAGTTGAGGGAGGGAGAGGAGCAGAAAAAAATAACTATAGGGTACTAGGCTTAATACCTGGGTGATGAACTAATCTGTACAGCAAACCCCTGTGACGCTAGTTTACCTACATAACAAAGCTTCGCATGTACCCTTGAACCTAAAATAAAAGTTCAAAAGAAAAAGATGGGGTCATAGGCACTTATGCCAAATGAGTAGTAACATGATGATTAAGCCAGGCCTTGGAGTCAGATGGACTGACACTTGAATTCAGCTTCTGTGACCAAGCCGTATGATTTGGAGCAAATTGCTTAACTTTTCTCAGTATCAGTTTCTACATCTGTACATTAGGAATAATGATACCTATCCCAGAGAGTTGTTTCAAGGATCAAATGAGTTTATGCATTTAAAGAAAAGCACTTTGAACAAAGTATGTAATTAATGGCAGTTCCTAACAAAATTTTAATGCATTTTAAAATTGAAATATAATTTACATGCAGTGAAATGCTTAATATGTGTATCATTTAATCAGCTTTGATAATGCATATCAAGACACAGAACATTTCCATCACCCTAGAAATTTCCCTCATGAACATTTCCCAGGCATCACCTCACCAGAAGCAAGCACTGAGCCGATTTCTGTCATCATAGATTAGTTCTGACTATTCTCTAATTTCATATACATAAAATTATACAAGTTATTTTTGGTGTTAGACTTCTTTCACCTACACCATACTATTTTTGAGATTTGTCCATGTTATTATGTGTGACAGTCTTTTTATTGTTGAATAGTATTCTACTATATTAGTCAATTTTCACATTGCTATAAAGAACTACCTGAGACTGGGTAATTTATAAAGAAAAGAGGTTTAATTGACTCACAGTTCTGGAAACTTACAATCATGGCAGAAGGCAAAGGGGAAACAAAGCATGTCTTACATGCTGGCAGAAGAGAGAGAGAGGGAGAGGGGAACTGCCAAACACTCTTAAACCATCAGAGCTCGTGAGAACTCACTCACTACCAGAAAAGCATGGGGGAAACCACCTCCATGATCCAATCACCTTCCTCCAGGTCCCTACCTTGACACGTGGGAATTACAATTAGAGACGAGATTTGGATGGGGACCCAGAGCCAAACCATATCATCTACTTTATGAATATGTAAGAGTTTATCCATTTTTTTTTGTTAGACATCTGAGTTGTTTTCAGGATTGAGTTATTATAATTAAAGTTATAAAGAAAATGTGTGCACAAATGTTTTCAATCCTGTCTGATAAATACCTAGGAGTGGAATTTCCAGGTCTTAAAGCAGATACTTGGACAACTTTATAAGAAACTGCCAAATTGGTTTTCAAAGTGATTGGAACATTACACAATTCTACCAGTAATGTATGAGAACTGTGGTTACTTCACATCCTTTTAACTTTTGGTGCTCTCATTCGTTTTATTTTTAGCCATTCTGATAAGCGTGTAGAAGTATCTCATTGTGGTGCAATGCAAATTAAGCACCACTGCTTGTCTTTGTTGGCTATTTTATCTAGTTTTATGAAGTGAATGTTCATATGTATGTTAAATATAGGTATTACAACTATTTTCTCCTAGTCTGTGGTCCATCTCTTTATTTTCTTGGTGGTATTTTTTGATGAGTAGATGCTTTTAATTTTCATGAAGTTTAAAGTATTTATTTCTTCTTATGGTTTGTGCATTTGTGTCCTTTCTAAGAAATCTTTTCCTCCTGAAGTTACAAAGGTATTCTAGCTTTTGTTCCAGGAGATCTCTGGTGGGTTTTTTTTTTTTTTTTTTTTTTTTTTGCATTTATGTTTCAGTCTGTTCTCTGACTCAAACTGATTTTTGTGTATGGTATAAGGTAGAAATTAAGCTTCTTTATTTTTTTACATAAATATCCGGCTGTTTTGTATTATTTGTTCAAGCAATTTTTCCTATTTCTTTTGAAGTAATGTGGTGCTCTTGTTAAAAGTCAGTTGACTATATATATGTGTTCCTATTTCAGAACTCTCTATTGTTTTATTATTTATTTTTATTTTTATAGGGACAGAGTCTCACTATGTCACCCAGTCTGCAGTGCAGTGGCACAGTCATATCTCACTGTAACCTCAAATTCTTGGACGCAAGCAATCTCTTCACCTTAGCCTCCTGAGTATCTAGGACTATAGGTACATGCTACGATGCCTGGCTAATTTCTTTTCTTTTATTTTCTATTTTATTTTAGAAACAGGTCTTGCTATGTTGCCCAGGCTGGTCTTGAACTCCTGACCTCGTGCAATCTTCTCCTCTTGGCCTCTCAAATCACTAAGATTACAGGCATGAGCCTCGATGTCTGGATTACTCTATTTTGTGGACTCATTTATATATAATGACAGCTATTTTAAGTTTAGATTTAAATTAATTTTATATCTATTTTTTCCATTTTGTAGATTTCAAATGCAGTAATTAACTTTGCTTATGATTTTTTGAAAAACTTTTTTCCCTTTTGATGTCATATGCATATGTATTTGTGTATGTATTCACTATATACACATACAAATATACACATACACACACACTAAGGCATATGGGTCATTAATATTCTTAGATTCTCCTAGTTTTTAGACACCAAATTTTTATAAGCTCCCTTATTTTTCAGAGATCAGGTTAAGCAGTGGTTTTTAAATTTTAGCAAAGCACATGAATTATCTAGATGGCTTATTAAACAAAAACAGATTTCTGGACCTTTCTCCAAGAAGTTTGACTTAGTAAAGTCAAATAGTAAGCCTGGGAAATGAAGAATTTGCATGCCTAACAAGCTCAGATGATGCTGATGCTGCTGACTTAGAAAACATACTTTAAACAGCATAGGCTGAGAAGAATTAGACGGCCTTTCTAATGTTCATACAGGAGCTTTATTGGAACTTTGATTTGCCTTTTCTAAAGACTAGTTCCATAGCCACTAATTAATAGTGTCTGCACTTGAAAAGACATCTGAAAAATCTGTTCCATGCACCAGAGCACAGGAGCCAGGAAGCATTAGGCAGATTGATAGTACCAACACTGCCTCATTTCCTTCTTCTTCCCTGGAAACTGGGTTTTGGTCTGTGAACAGACACAGGCACATCTTTATATATACTACAGCTGAACAGAGCCCTGTGATGAACATGCACAGCAAAACAGGCATTCTTTGCCCTGCATCCTCCGTCAACAATCAGAGGGAGCTTTATTTTCCCCTTAATGGTCGACTGGTCTCTAAACCAGAAAAATTTTTATAGCCAAGTCCTTTAAAACTTTTCTAAATTTATGTTGTAAGTAGCTGGCATCTAAGTGAATATTCTTGACAGAACAGACATTCTGAATTAAAGTTCGATACTCTCAAAGCCAAAAAACCTCAGTAATCAAAATCCCAACCCAAACCCCTAAGCTTCTCTACGTATTTGAGGACAAGCAGATAACTTTTTAGTTTTCCTTTCCAATAGATCAAGAACATGTGGAAAGGCCGGGCATGGTGGCTCATGCCTGTAATCCCAGTACTTTGGGAGGCTGAGGCGGTAGGATCACTTGAGTTCAGGAGTTCGAGACCAGCGTGGACAATATGGCAAAACCCCATTTCTCCTAAAAAATACAAACATATTAGCCAGGCGTGGTGGCAGGCGCCTGCAATCCCAGCTACTTAGGAGGCTGAGGCAGAAGAATCACTTGTACCTGGGAGGTGGAGGTTGCAGTGAGCCGAGACTGTGCCATTGTACTCCAGCCTGGGCAACAAAGTGAGACTCCATCTCCAAAATAATAATAATAATAATAATAATAATAATAATAATAATAATAATAATAATAAAAGAATGAGTGGGAAGAAGTAACTGTACCACAACTATACATCAATTTTGTAGAATGTTTATACTTGTACAAGGACTCAATAAAGGTACACTGTGTTGTATTTTTCTTTTATGAATGGTTAATTACCTATTTGGTCCTTGAAACCATGTTAATGAAAAATGAATTCCTACTAAGTATTTATACTGAAACTTCCTTAAAGATGTCAAAAAGAGAAAAATAATTAATCTACTTTGTAAAAAAAAGACAAAGTTATTCTGACTAGAGAAGGAGGAATGTGTATTTGAAATGCTCCCTCTTACATGTCCGCCCATCTCAGCAGCTTTCTAGCGGTTCTACAAGCAATGTGAACATCACAGCTCAATCATTTATTCACTGGCATTTGGGAATACTAGATAGAAAGTGCTTCATCCTCAAAGGAAGGCCCATTCATGACTAGCTAAGAGCATACACCACACTTACTCTAGCAGTGAGAAATTCAGAAATAAAATGACAGCAGGCCTGTGACTGTAACTAATGTGATATTCAACAGCTCCACCCTTCTATCTGGCACGTGCATGACATATGACTTACGGTGCCAGAAGAAGAGAGCCAATGCCACACCTCACCTACATTGTTCTCCCAGTTCCCAGAAACCTTTGGGTTATGAAGGATTATTTTTCTTTCTTTTTTGAAGGAGATTAAAAGGGCATCAAATGAGTTACCAATGGAATTTTCAGACATCCTACAACTTCTCTTGAACATGCCATGTGGTTGTAAGCTATAAAATCATCTTTTCCCCAGTGCTTTTAACCAGCAGTGAATGCAATCCTACTACTCTCTACAGTGAGCACAGAGACTTAAATTCTACTAAGTGTGGGAATGAGCCTGGCCCCTGACCCTTTCTTGCTACACAGTCTTAGAAAATCTTTTTACTTGTCTCCCCTTTGGTTTCCCAGAACAGAAATCCCTATTCCAGATGGTTGTTATGAGTTGTGCTTATAGTATTTTTTTCAAAGCTCATAGCACAATGCCTGACTCACAATACAGACTCCACAAATGGTGGTTCTAAGCATTCTCTCTCTCCCCTCCCTCCATCTGTCCCTCCCTCCCCAACACTCTATCTATATATACGTACATATATATGCATATACACATGTGCGCACACATACACACGCACAGAGATACCATTCAATAAATTATATATATTTATATGTACATGTTTTTGTATGTGTATAAGGATGTATTTATATGCACGCAAATGCATACTTTGTTGATTAGTGTCTATCGTTACTGTGATAATTATCATTTGAACTAGAAAAAATAATCGAGACCTTTTGACTTCAACTTAGAGTCTGCTCCAGCATGGATATAAAATAAATACAAAGACAACTCCCCTAAAGACCTTAAGGAATAACAAAATTTTGTCAAAGTCTCCTGTGGACACTGTAAATATGAATAAACAGTGTATTACACAGCACCACTTCTTTACTCATCTTGTTACCTGAAGTCTTTTATTACATAAGTATCTACCCCCATTTCTCTTTTCTTTCTAGCTGAGACACCTGCACAAACATCTCTGCATGCTTTGTCTTTGCCCTCTGACCACCTCTTTATTATATAGACAATGCAGGCTTCCTTCAGTTTCTACCATTGTATCTTTACCTGTGGTAACACATCCCATAAGTGATGGTATCTTTTCAAGATAGAAAAGATCTTTCCTTTAAGAGACAAAGTAAAGAGAAGAAGGTCAGGGAAAGGGGGAGGAGAAAGGCTGCAAATATGGATAAATATCTTTAAATGTTCACATTTGTCTTAGAAAATAATAAAGTCACAAACTCATACCTTAGCAGTCCTAAACTTTTTGAATCCTGGACATAAATTTCAGGGCAACATTGGGATTAAGAAAATCCCCTCAGGCCACCACAAAAGGGACGGTTGTCTCAGCCTTCACACAGGTTCCAGTATAACCTTCTTCAAATCCCTGAGGATGGAGGTTTCTTCCAAGTCTACAAAATCAACAGAGAAAGACAATGTCCATAAAGAAAAACAAAAACAAGACAGAGTGATATTAAATTAAAGGCCATTTGGTTTGGAGAGACTAAACAAAAGATACTTTAGATTCTGTTTGTCATAAAATTGCAGAATCCCTGAATGGATTCAGTCTTGACTGAATTAAAGAATCATACCAAAAAAAAATTTCATAGTATATCAAGGCTGGAAGGTATTTTAGGACTTAACAAATCAAATTTGCTCATTTAACTTACAGGGAAACTGAGGATGGGAGAGCAAAAGCGATTTTCCATGATAATTCATTGTCTGTGGCACAGTTCAATCCGTGTGTCAAGCAAATCTTTAGTATACAAAAACAATGTGTTTAACACTGGTCTATCATCAAAGCAAGACAAGGAGACCGTGCATCACTCCACCTTGAAATACCTCCCTCTCTTGACTTCTAAGGTACCAATCTTACTGCGACCACTGGCCACTCCATCTTGGCTACCTCTATTGCATCTTTTCAACCTCCCAATTTCCAACATAAGGAGATCTTAGGGCTCAGTCCTGAGCCTCTTCTCTATACACACTTTCTCACCAGGTACATCTTCCAGGTCCACAGCTTGAGATACCATTTATACTCTGACAACTCTGAGATTTGTCTCCAGGCCCAGATATTTCCCCGAACTCTAAACTCAATCAACTGACTCTTCAACAACTCTACTTGGGCATGTCAGATATAAGATGACCCAACTGAGGTCATGACTTAGTCATCAGCACCACCAGCTTCCACCTGGAAAATACTAAAGCCCTCCTTCTTCTAAGTTTATGCCTTCTCAGTCAATGGCAATTTTATTCACCCAGTTGGTCAGGCCTAAACCCTCCAAGTAAACCTTGATTCCTGTCTTGCCTATATACCTCACATTGTCCATTTCATCAGCACATTCTGGTGGCACTATCTTCAGAATAAATCCAGCAGCTGACCTTTTTTTTTTTTTTTTTTTTTTTTTTTTTTTTTTTTTTTTTACCACATCTTTTACTACCATGCTGGTGCAAGACATCATTAAAGATCTACAAGGTTGCACAGCAGGCTCTCTCAGACTAGGGCTGGTACTCTCCACCAGACCCATGTAAGAGAATGACACTCCCCTGCTCAAAACCTTCCACCTCACTCAGACTCAAAGTTAAAGTTGTTGCAATGGCCATAAAGATCCTGCTTGATATTTGATGCATCTCTCTTACCACCGTCCTCATCTTCCACTCTTTTCCCCCTCATTTATTCCTCTCTAGCCATGCTGCTCCTCTAACACACCTCTGATTCTATTAGGAGCCTTTGAACTCATCATTCCCTCTACCTGGGAAACTTTTCTCCTCACTGTTTCACGTCTTTGCTCAAATGTTACCTTTCCAGTGAGGACCCTTGTAAAATTACCCTGTTTAAAATTGTAAACTCATACCACATATCTCATCCCTCTTTCTCTAGATTTAAAAGTCTTTTTGATGTATTACATGTCTACCTGTTTATTATCTGTCATCCCCCAATAAAATGTAAACTCCATGCATGCAAGAAATTCTATCTCGGGTATTCTGCTGTGTCTCCAGCACTTCACTTCACTGATAGCCTTGCACAGAAGTGGAGCTCGATAAATATTTTTTGAATGAATGAATAAGCAGACAGTAAGGTTAAGTAAACCTCATGGCCACTCAGATGATAAGTGGCTGAGCCTGGTTTGAACCAAAAGCATTCCATCTCCAGTATTTTTGACAACTATGGAATACTGACTAGATGAATGTCTTCTAGTGTTGGGCTTAGGAAAAGGATTTGTATAGTCTGGAGTGTGATGCAAAAGATGAATGTTAGTTGTATTTGGGAAGCTAGCAAACAAAAGCCCCAAAACTATTTCTAGGAGATACTCTAAAGAGTATGTGTGGCATGTATTGGGATGACTCTGCTTACAGGCTAATACTGAAATCTCATTGTTACTTTCATCATGCTGTTTTCAGATTTTCTGCCTTTGCTTCCATGCCATTATTTCTTGTCATTCCCTCAACTCTCAGCCCCTGCTTTACTATAAAAAGTATGAAGTAAAGGAATCCAGGGTTAGACAACAAAAAAGGGAAGAGATGCATTTAGGGAAAAGGTATTGGGCAGTCATCAAAGGACTTTAGATCTAAATCTAATTTGGTCACCAATTTGTCATTTGCCTTTAGGGTTGTCCCTTCCTTTCCCTGGGGTACCCCTCATTTTTATTTTGTTACCCCTCATTGCGGTAACATAAATACCTTTGAAGATCTTCAGCTCCCAAAAATGATCATTTTCTTTTTTTAACTGATAAAAGGCTCCCTTATCCTCAGTAGTCTAAAAGTGGTTAGGAAATATGGTGCAATGTTTAAGAACTAGGCTTTGGGGTTTACTACTGCGGTTCAGGTTCCGGTTCCACCACTGTGGAACCCTGGCCAAGATAATCAACTTCTCTAAGTATCATATTTCTTTTCTATAAAAGAGAGATGATGAAAATACCTATCCCTCTAGGATGTTTATGCAAAAGAAATGAAGTCATAGGTAAATCATTCATTACTGTACATAATGTTAGTGCTCAATAAACTTTTACTGTTCTTTATTTTTAAAGTTTTTACTGCTGCAGGCTTATATTCTGCATGACATTTCATAAATGTATCTACCTTCATCTTAGTTCCCACTGGATTCTGAATCTTTCCATCTTTTATCATATGACATTGCTTTTGTAGCCCTTAATGACTTTGGGCAACTTTGTCTGGACCATCTCCAGGATCAGTTGTATGCAGCTACCCCAGCTGCCCCCACATTCCTGGGCAGATGGCGGAACATTGTAACATGAGAAAGTCATGTTTTCTGATTCATTTATTGTCTGCTTTCTCGTACCCGGCAATTTGAGGATGATCTTGGCCTCGGTTCTGGAATGTCAAGGCACAGTCTACAATTATTCCTGCATTCTGAAGCCAAGAGACACAACATTGGAAGCAAACAATGCTGTAATTCAGCACAATGATAGATGGAGTTATTAAAGAAATTGTGCTGACTGCTTTGATAATTCTAGTCTCAAGTCTATCCAAATGCATCTTTCTTTCTTCTTTTCTTAACTGATATTAAGAAACTGTCTATGTTCAGGTAGTAATGACATAAAAATATGTCACCTACCTTTCAGGTTTAGTTACATCCCAACCTAATAAATAGTTACAATGCTTCAGAGAAAAGGTACTTACAATCCATTCTAAGTCATCCAAGGACATGATCCAAAGCACATTTACAAAGCAAATGTTTATGAAATATATAATCTTTGCCATGCACTTTGTTAAAGACTGGGGATATGGTAGAGGATAATAGTGACTTTATTCCTACCTTCATTAAGCCTTTGTTCTAGCAGTTTTTCTTTATCTTTTGTAATTTCCTAACGTTGCCCAGATATGAGTAGACATGACAAATTCCTACAAATTTGTTGATTATCTCAAGTAGTGATATAGCGTGTGCTGACATAAATATCTCAATTTCTGCTTGATAGAGAGAGACAATTCTATAATTCTTGGTTTTCTTGGGAACAACACTCATTTCCTTACTTTGCTCCTCACCTCCCACCCCTACACACCTCTTTCTGCTTTATTTCCCTCCTTCAACAAAGAAACAAAAAAGTATTCACCAAATTCCACTACCCATTAACAAGATGCCACATGGCACAGTAAAGGACACTAGGTCCAGAGGGCACAGCTTCAGAAATTAGCTTTTTCGAAATCCTTGGAAATAATAAAGGGATTAATGCTATTATATGGTAAAATAAAATGAGAAAGTATATACTAGGAATAATGTGAAAGAAAATAATGTCAAGAAAGAACAACATATGTCTTAAATCACCAGTGTCTGCATGGGAGAGTGCTAATCATAGAGGTAGGTGGCATCTCTGCCTGTCAGGCGGCCTTGAACGCTTCAGGGAATCTGTCATTTTTCAAAAGGTATCAATTAGTGGTTGCTCTGATGGCAGAGTGTGAACCACACCTCTCTAATGGTTAGGTTGTGTTAAAAATGATTCCTGTGAGCATAAAGCACACACAGACACGGGTTTCACAGATACCCTGGCACCAAGACAGACTCCCAAGAGAGGTGGGCATCCCGAGAAGGCAAAACCAGGGAGAGTGGGAGCAGCAGAAGGTATTAGCAACTCTAAGTGGGTCTTAAGATTTTTGAGCAGAAGTGTGCTGGGGGAAAGGATGAACTATGGATCCAAATGTATCTAATGACGAATTTAAATTTAAAACTATGCCAACAGATTTGGGTCCTACTGGGAATTAAAGAAGCATTGCTGTAAAGATTTACCTCTTAAGAAGTGTGATCGTGGAGATACCATATAGGTATACACACCTACACACAGCATTCCTGTTGCCAACAATGCTTCCCAATATGTGTATTACTCTATTTGCATAGAAGGAAATTGAGTTTGGAGACATTAAGTAATCTGATTGAAATCACATAACTAGGAAGTGACAAGTCGGGATTCAAACTCAGAACTGACCCTGGAGCATATTGACATTCAGCAAACATGCTGAAAATCACCATTGCTTCTTTCCTAGGTTTTATTTCTGATTAAACCTAGTTCTGACACTCAGAAATGACACAACTTAAAATCCAAAGGAATATCTCAGTCTCCTAATAGTCTAACTGAAAACTGGCCCAGCTCAGTCTCTGCTGAGAATAGTAAAGGCACACAAATAGAAGAAGGTACATTTCCTCAGAAGGCCTAGAGTTGGTCCCACTACATACTGGAATGAGCTACATGGATTGTATACCCAGCACCAAGTCACCACAGGTGGTCAGCCTCAGTTGCAAAATATTGATTATATTTTCTAGCAGGTGATAATACTCAAAGTAGGGGCTATAAAACATAAAATACTCTGGGCATCTAGGTGTCCAACTGTAACTAGAATCACCAGTTTTGGCTGGCTAAGTATTAAAGACCTTCCCTTCTGTTTATTTCTAGTCTAGACAACAAACAAACCGCTGATGAATAGCAAAATAAAATCTGTACTGCTGGATTTTGAAGATTATAGAAAACATCCAGTGACTTTTAGATATCTAATCTCTTGCCAGTGCATTAGCATTATTTTCCTTCCTGGTTAGCCTTTTAAATTGAATGGTGAAATCAAAGGAACTTTGGAAAAAATGTCACTGAATGTTAAAATGAGGCTTTAGGAAATTTCCCGGCACCTGGGCTAATTGCTGATTTATAGCCTTCTTGGCTAGTTAATGAAATATGTGTCTCTCATAAACTTTTAAACATGGGTTGGGCTTTGCTGGTGTGCAAGTAGTAAAAGTAGATGTGCTTTTAGAATTGAATGTACACAGAATAGATGCCCGCCCTGACTCTTCTCTGTGTGCATCCACCCAGCACCTCTTCAAGTCTGACATTTTCTAATTTAGCTGTCTAGAAATACAGGTCCCCCCTTTGCCTTAAGAAATTGCTCTTTGTTACCAGGGAAGTGGTCCCCATTCCTAGCCAAAACAGTAAGAGTATGTATGATTTCCCTAAATACATCCACTCTTTCTAGGATTCACACATTCAGACACCACACCCCATAAGCTTCCATGCATGCCAGTGCACCAACACACCATGTACATACCAACAAAATTCTCAGGGCAGCATGCTATCCCACACAGCCTCAAATCTAGACAGTGGGCCCTCTGTGCTGTCTCGAAACCAGGCAATGGCTGACTTCACTACACTCTCCTTACTTGCTAGTGTGAAGGAAGAATTGGACCACATACTTAGACAGATGGGTGATTAAATTACCAGGGGCTATTTTTGCTAGCTTTCCATATATCTCTAGATACCCAACACAATTTTTTAAAACGATCAGCATAACTGATATCAGCGAAAATAGATCAGCATCACCTCATCCCCAGAAGAGCAGTCTTGGATCTCCTGTTCTTAGTGACACATGAAGTCAGATCCACAATATTACACCACTGTGAACACACAAAAAAGGATGCTCAGCAAAAACCTGTCATTCTAGGAGACTATCAACAAGGATATTATTTTGTTTTGATATCATAGAATGCAAAGATAATACTGGCTAAAAGCATTAGATCCCTGCCTAGGTTTGATTCCTGGCTCAGCCACCCCCAAGTTGTGTCCTTGGGCATGTTATTTAACCTCTCAGTGCTTCTTCTGCATCACAGACACCATGGTGATATCTATCTCAAAGAGTTCTTTGTGATAATCAATTTTAAAGCACTTAGAATAGCATCTAGAAAGGACCTAAGTATGCAGTTGTTTGCTGCCAATATTCATTGTCAAATGATTTTTGGGATTTAATTTTTGCTTTAGTAAAATCCTTCCAAAATAATGTCAGCTGACCAGTTACAGAAAGGAGGAAAACAGGAAAAAACACAAATATAAGATATTTCATCTAGTCAGGACATACAAACCCTTGAGAGCTGGGTTGAAGTTCAATGGGTATTAGATTTAAGTAAAACCTCCTCAAGGGGACTTGAATTAATACAATGGTGCCATGCTGGGTCTGAATTCTCTTACCTATAAAATGGGCATAACACCTTGGTTGTATTTTACAAGGGTTTTAGGAGGATGAAAAAAATAGTAATATGGGCAACAATGTGTTTGCGTCTTCCCTACTAGACCAAATTATTCAGAGTATGGACTCTGTTTCATGTCCATTTCTTAGAGGCACAGAGCAAGTATGTACTACAGAGCCATTGTATAGGCATATTATCTGTATAGGAAAATGAATCAATCATTTATGTATGATACCCTCCACTGACTGATGTTTGAACAAAGCTACACAATTTCCTTGTTAACTCTATGGTGGCAAGCAGGAAAGGCAGACCTGTAGAGAATGACCTGCCACACTGATGTGTTGAGTAAACCCAAAGAGTCTGAGGCTCAGAGGAGTAGAATTACTGCCCAACCCCCAAGCCATTAACAAAGCACAATTGACTATCATCATTATTGGCACTCAAAAAGAAGAGTCTCAGAAACTATTATTTATTGAGCTTGTATGTGCCAGCACTGTTCAGCTTGTATTTTCTCATGAAATCTTTCCAATAAACTAATGAGACAATATTGTTAGGATTCCCACTTTGTAGATGGGGAATGGGAAGGCTCGGAGTGTTAAAGTAACTTGTGTAACATTATAGAGCATGGATTAGAATGCAGGAGAGTCTTGAGTCCAGGGTCTGGGCTTCCAATCACTGTGTTACACTTTTTCCTGCTGAGACCTGAACTCATCTTTGCCTGTGATAAAAACTGTAAACATGTTTTCCAAGTTTGTTCTTTATCTCCGTACATTGCTTATGGTATTTTGTGAGTACTCTTTTCATCTCATAAGAGCAAAGAGTTAATATTCCTAACATATAAACATTTTCTGGAGATAGAAGAGAAAAACTCTAGTAAGTGTCTAGAAAAATAGGCATGGGGATGTCAATAGGAAATTTAAAGAAAAATAAGTGCATAGTCTGTGAGCTTGGCCACATATATAATAAGAGAAATGCAAATTAAGGATAGAAAAATTAGAGCATCACCAAGAATAATAACTGCAAATGATCAAAACACTGCAGATATATTTAAATCTATGAGATCATAATAATACTAAGAAAAAAAGGAGACAGAAAACCTCTTATTGATCATCTTTGGAGAACCAGATCATTATTTTGAAAATGGTAAATAATAGAAAAACAAGCTGCCTTTCTTTGTGGTCTATAATCAAATACTGATAAAAGTTTCCATTTGTAGAAGTTTTTCACCAAAAATGAGGACAAAATAATAAAATTTTAAGATCAAAGTTTTGTAGCCCCTAATAAAATAGTAGATCTAGGCAATAATTATCAATGACTGCTAACATTTCAAGAGTAAGAAGACATCATTGCCTCCTGATGGAAGTATGTAGCTTTATAGGTGAAGCTACGTGTGATCAAAAACATGCAACCTAAATTACATCAAGTTGTTATCCTTAAATCTCACTTATAGGAAATCCAGGTGACTGAGAAATATGCTGTAAATAATATCAGAGGGATGAAATTGGCAACATCCAGACTGTGAGACTGTCTGTAGGACAAATAACCCCATTGTCTTCCATGTATAAATTACAAGAAAAATAACAGTGATGGGAAAACTATGGATTAATAGAGACTTAGGAGACAAGAAAGTCTATTTTAATGGATGAAACTCACTTGGATCTTGATTTACAAACAATACCTAAGAAAAAAATATAATCGATAATTTGAAAAGTAATTAGATGCTTGATATTGAAGATGTATTAATGTCTTTGATATAATATCATTCTTATATTTATAAAGAGGATATCATCTTGTAGGGATGAACACTGAACTACTTAAAGAAGTGTTACTATGGGTGGGAATTTGCTCCAATAGGGGTTGGGTAATAATACAAGACTGTCCATGAACTAGAAACCTTTGAGGTTTGCTTATGGGTAGATAGGATTTCACTACCCTATCCCCTTACTTTAATATGTTTTAAATTTCCCATAATAAAATTATAAAAAGATAACTATTTGCCAGATATAGGCATATAGCATCTGCATGACAAAGAAAGTTTACCAAAATGATCCTAATAGTCCTCCTCTCAGGGTGGTAAGATTATGCATCATTTGACCTTTTAAATTTTCCAATTTTTCTTAATAATTATTTGATGCACTTACAAACAGAAATTAAAAAGTTAATATAAAAACAATTTATTTCCATATGAGATTTTAAACATCGAAAATATTTTATTGTTTAAACAACTAGGAAGCAAATTTTGCAAAATCTTAAGATTTGCTAAAGCTGGGTGATTAGCACACTGTATTCACCATATAATTTTCCTCAACTTAAAAAATGTAATATTTTATAATACAATATTATAAAAGTTGAAAATAAAATATCTGGACTATTACCTGCTATCCCTGTCTGTTAGGTTATATTGAACACCTTTTCTCCAAAATAGCATCTAAAAGATAAGTGTGTCACGCAACGCAAAAAATATGTGTAAGAGATTCCAGGAATCTGTCCTATGGCAAGGCCTGTAAGAACATTAATCAATATATCTTTAAACATTTTGATTTTTAAAGGAATGAAAATATGGCTTGTAATTTACTGAAGGAATTTTACTTTCATACTGCTTGATGATTAGGAAAAAGTCTTAATCATTCAGTTAAAAATATTTCAAAAAACAACTGGTTGGGGCCTTAGGGACTAGCCAACTGAATCCTATTATTTCATAGATGAGAGGAGAAAGGCTTATGCAAAGCCTTTCTGACCCAATAAATAACTTGGGTCAGATGGATGACAAAAACCCAGGCCTCCAACACCTATTTCTCATCTTTCATGATCATGTTGCACAATGTGGCATTTTATAAAATGCTTTTATGATCCCAGTAAAACCACAAAACTGTATAGATCTATTATCAGAGAAGGGATATGACAAATACGTGGATATATAAAGAGTTGTGGCTTGCGTGAGGGTACCTGTGATGGAGAGGAGGGGGCTACGTCTTTATATATAGATTACTTATTATAGCAGTTTTAGGTTCGCAGCAAAATCGAATTGAACTTCAGAAAGCTTGCATATATATCCCTTGTGCTCCACCCATCCCTTCAAATGCACAGCATAACCCACCAACTGGCGTGCTACATTTCTTACAATTGATGAACCATTACACTGACACACAATTATCCCTCAAAACCCATAATTTACATTAGGGTTCATTCTTGGTGTTGTGCCTTCTATGGGTTTTGACAAATGTATTATGATATGCATCCAGCATTATAGTATCATACAGAGTAGTTTCTCTGCCCTAAAAATTCCCTGGCTCCATCTATTTATCCCTCCCTCCCCACAAGCCCCTAGCAACTACCATCTCCAAAGTTTTTTTCTTTTCCAGAAAGCCATGTTGTTGGAATCGCATAGCATACAGACTTTACAGATTGGCTTTCTTCACATAGTAATACACTTTTAAGGTTCCTCCATGTACTTTTATGGCTTGATAAAAATTTCTTCTTAGCACAGAATAATATTCCATTGTACAGATGTACCACAACTTATTCATCCATTCATCAAAAGAAGGACATGCTGGCTCCTTCCAGTTTTGGGTAATTATGAATAAGGCTGCTGCAAACATCCATGTGCAGGTTTTCTATGTGGACATAAGTTTTTCACTCATTTGTGTAAATACCAAGAATATGATAGCTGTATCATATGGTAAAAGTAGGTTTAGCTTTGTAAGAAACTGCCAAACTGTCTTCTACAGCAGCTGTAAAGAGGGGCTCAATTTTAAAAATGATCACCTAAGTGAAAATCACACACAAACGATATTAATCCTAAAATATCTTAGGTAGGCAGCATGCTGAGGCTGATATTCTGTACCTCAAAAGCCACTCAACTGTAAGATCTCTGAGGTCAGGAATTTTGTAGTGCTTGCTGTATTCCCAGTCCCTGAAACAGTACTGGAACATAGTATGTTCTCATTCAATGTGTGCCAGATAAATAAATAAATAAATGCAAAGGAAAAAAATCTTCCCTCCAGTTTTGCAGCAGAGAGTTCTTAGGTCAAAAACAAGTGAAATGAAGACTTTTCTTAGGGACTATATTGTTTGAAAAATAAGTATTTTTAAACAATAGAATCTCATTCAGGCAAAGTCCTCCCCTATAAAAAGTGTGAAGGCCTGGGACAGAGAAAGAAAAGTAGAATCTCTTCTCTTACTCTGGGGCATGGGCTCACCGCATAGAAGAGGGGACAAGATCTTCTACATGATTTAAACAGTTTTCTTTTATTTGCTATGCACGTAAAGTTGAATTTACATAAATTAAATGCACATAAGCTGAGATTCCACTATAATTGCAAAACCATTGCATTGGAAATAAGCCTTCATTGAAATCACATTAGAAACCAGAAAGATTAAATTAGATTTTGAAGCATATTTAACCCCATCAAGAGGTAGATTATAGAAATTTTATAAAAACACATACACACAGCAGGCCAGAGTGCCTGGCTAGGAAATGGAACAGCCTCATCACCTCAGTATGGAGGGGAAAGCTGTCATCTCATATCAAGGCATGGATGATGAATCACCCAAACCTTAGAACTCTTGCTCTACAAACTTAAATGGCCGTGCAAACAAACAATTCACCTATTTACCTGGCCTCAGTTTCCTAAACTGTAGAAGGGGCATAATATTACCTCTATATATGATTGTTTAATGGAGACAGACTACATATGATGGGTCTAGCTCCCTGGTTCTCAATTCTCAAAAAAAACCAAACCATAACAATCCCTTAAAACCTAGGTGTGAAGTAATCGGAATTTATTTCAACCTTGTTACCACCACAGGTTTGCTAATCCTGAGCCTTCCCAAAACCTTATGCTTCCCATCCTCAGCACACACTAATTTACTATTTAATATGTCTTAAGAATCCACAGAGTCCTATGAATTACATAAATGTGACTTAGGTGGCTGGCTATTATTTTTCCCTCACCCTTCTTACCAGGCAAATGTGAAGCTAAATTAGTCACTTATCATAAAGTTCTCTGAAAACATTAAAGTCTAAAGAAATGCTTGATAATTGTTCTTAGCCATCTGGTGCCAAGTGATGCTCATGAACTTACACGAGCCATTTGGTAAAAATCCAAAAATGTCTATCTTAATTTTACATCTCACTTACTGAAAGTTCCAAGTTGAGAAATTTCTAAGAGGAGAAAATGGTTTATAAAAAGGAAAACAAATGGGCAAATCTTTGAACTCATTCACATAAGAAGGCTTACAAAAATCCACCTCTTGTAATCCCAGCACTTTGAGAGGCTGAGGTGGATGGATCACTTGAGGTCAGGAGTTCGAGACCAGCCTGGCTAACATGGTGAAACCCTGTCTCTAACTAAAAATACAAAAACTAGCTGGGCATGGCAGCACGTGCCTGTAGTCTTGGCTACTCAGGAGGCTGAGGCAGGAGAATCACTTAAACCTAGGAGGCGGAGGTTGCAGTGAGCCGAGATCACGCCACTGCACTCCAGCCTGGGTGACAGAGCAAGACTCTATCTCAAGAAAAAAAAAAAAAATACACCTCTATCACTGCTTTTAACAAATGAAACTAAGGTGACATCACACTGTTAACCTCCACAATCCATGTGCACATACATGGTAAAGGATTAATTGTGACTGCTTTTCTTTCTCAGTTCTTTCACATGACTAGCTACACATCAGGGCCTCTCATATGGAGAAGAGTGCTGGATCTCCTGTGGTCTCTCTTCTTCCTAGACTGAGCCACTAAAAGCAGACATCCCCTTGTCTGCATTATTATAATAGCCTTTCAACTGGTCTCTACTCAATGCATCTCTGGCTGATTCCAATCCATTGTCTACCTTATAGATGAAAAGAGCTTCTTAAAAATAAATGATTTCCACTTCTCTGTCCAAACTTCCCAAAGGCTTCCCACTGCCCTTAGAATGAAATCCCAAATTCTCAACATTGCTTAGGAGGTCATCTGAGACCTGGCCCCTAGCTACATCACCAGTGGCATCTTGTACCACACCCTCTCACCTACTCAGTGTGCACCAGCCACACTTGGCATCATTTCTTTTACTGTGAAGTGTCACTCTCTGTCTCGTCTTAGTGCCTTGAGAATACTGGAAATAGAAGATACGCACTTTGACCCACAAGCTCTCCAAAAGAAGTATGAAAACAGATTTGAGGGTAATTTGCGACTTTCTCTGAGCACCTCCTCTCTTCTTTTTTCTCATTCATAAGGAGGTTGTGTCCATCTGCCCATGGATGTTTTAGAGCTTGTTTAATTTCCTTCTTTAATGTAATAGTGTAAATAGATCCAATTTGCTAAACATATTTTTTTCGTGTTCAAATATTGTCTCTCTCATTCTTCTCTCCTCACCCCAGATCTCAGACACTTCACAACACATTTACCCTCACAATTTATATAAGTTGGCAGTCTGGATACTAAACTCACTTTTCAAGCAGGGTCAAATCAGCTGAGACACCTGCCGGAAGTAGCTAGAAGAACATTACTTATCTTTCAATGATTTTATGACAACTTCCAGTTTCTGAAAATCACTGGATATTACTCTAAAAATAAAACATTACTGATAATTACTCCTTAGAATGGAACAAATCATTATATTAATTTGAAAAGTTATCTTGGATATGGGAAAGAGAGTTTTTTTTTTTAAGTTGCCAGTGTACATGAAAAAGCTCATTTCTGAGAGGAAATAGGGAATAAAAAATTGCTTCATGCTTTCTGAAATTCATTTTGCTTATGCTAATAACAAGTCCAACACTATACAGTCCCCGAGAACCCTCAGAAAGAATTACAGAAAGTGTGTCAGGAGGAGAGAAAGGAAAGAAAATTATAGGTGAGTGAAAAATAGGTTTCTAATTTTGGAAGAATATTTGGGATGCTATGGACTCCGAACCCAATACAAATAAGTTAAAGTAGAAATCTAATGACTATAATTCCAAGGGAAGAAATATAATAAAGCCTCATAGAGGTCAGCAAAACAAAATTAAAGGTAATATTAGCAACAGTAATAATAAAACCTAACTCCTATTCATATGTATTGACCCATTTCTTTCTCCTAACAACTTGTGAGGTAGGTTCTCCTATAATCTCCACCTCACACATGGGAGAAACAATCAACTTATCCAAGGCAGCAGGGCTGAGATTTGAGTCAAGGAGGCTTGGCTCTGGAGTCCACACTTGTAACCACAGCACTGTGCTGCTTCTCACACCTTAAAAGAAGTCAGATGCAAAGGGATACCTTAAATATTATACTTTGTCACTGACCCCCAAAGCAGAGGTGAGTTATCTGCTGCTCATAATGCAGGATAGAAACTCAGAATATTGTGTAAATAAATAAAACTAAGTCCTAGAGGTCTTCTGACATATGTCAAATGATTCAGGGTCTCCTGATTCGTAACCCATAGTTGTCCTAACAAGCCCTGGTACCTAATTTGGCAAATACCTATGGAGTTCCTTTGAAACATTTGTCACAGTGCTGACAAATGAGTCAGACATAGGGCAGTAAATGGATTAGGAAAGTAAGTACAAGACATTGTGGGATCACAAATGAGTGGATAACACACATCTGAGACATCAGAGAGAGGGGCATGAGATGGAGGCTGAAGGGGGTTTGGTTAGATGAAAGCATAAGAGGGGAAGAGAGATTAAGACCATTTCAGGCAGAAGAAACTACGGGTAAGAAAGCTTGGAAGAGAGAACACTGTACTTTCAAGGAAATTTATAAATTCCTATATGGATGGATGAGTTGCATATTTTGAGGACAGAGCACTCTAAACAATCAGAATGGAAAAATACATTGGGATGAGTCACACAGAGCCATCCAGGCTACATTAAGGAGTTTAAACATATAAAGCTGTCTTTAGGGTTGAGGGAAAATAAAGACTTCTAGCTCAAATGGCTTTCTTCTCCTTCCCATCCCACTCCACTTACCCACTGCACCATCTCTACCAAACAGAAATCAGAAAAGAACCAAACAAAACTGAGTCACTGAAATTAGCATAGAACCTGAAAGGGAGAAGATGAAGTCAACAAGATGAGAAGTGAAGGAGGAAAAAAGAATGTTTCCAGTAGAAGAGAAATGTTACTTCACAAGAAGGTAAGCAACTACAGGGTAACTCTGAATGATGAGATCAAAGGACCTATCAGTTTTGTGTTAAAGCCAGCTAGCAGGAGCCACCTGTCAAATTTTCAGGAATTTCATGAGCTGCTTGTTAAGTCATTAGTAACTTGAAAGGAGCCATATTGGGAATACTCACACCATGAACATTGACAAATGCTCTAAAATAGGGCTTATCTTTCTTGAGAGGTGGGTTACTAGCAAGCACGGCCTATACTCACTGTTTGTTGCTGTTATTATTGGAGACAAATAAATAATACAAAGGTTCCATTTTTTAAACTCTCCCTTACTCTATGGACTCTTTATGTATTAGGAAGTGTAACACAAACCTGAAATAATAGACTGTTGTCTAATTTCTTAGCCCACTGCATTGGTGCTGGCTTAACTCACTCACAACAAGGCTAAATACTCAACTTGATCAACCCTCTTATCCATGAGTTTCTACTGATCATTGTAGACCTACAACTCCACCAAATGTATGAAATAAAAAACAGTACATTTGATTAGGAAAGCCAGTAAGACTTGATAGAAATAATATCAATGCTTTAACTATTCTTAAAGTAAATACAATTAGGAGTTTTATATGGCTGTTTCAAAGAAATGAAATTATGAATGTGTCATAAAGATATATTCCATATATTTGATAAATACCCAGTAAATTTCATTATTAATATGTATAACAGATTATACTTATTTAATGCTATATGTATCAGGCATCCAATCTTATAACAATCTCTACTTGGTTTTAACTATTATCTCCATTTTACAGCTGAGAAAATTCAGGCTCATACATTGAATAGCTTGCCCAAATTTTACAGTGATTAAGAGACAAAAGTTCCTAGCCACTGATTCTACAGCAAAAACTGTTAAATCCTATACATAACTGCTTGCTAAGATACTTTACTGCCATTAGGTAATGTTACGAAATGCAAAGAGTAAAGTCGTGTAATTTAAATTTTTTTAATTAACATTTTAAAAATTAAACATTAATGTTTACTAGAAGGTGTGCATCCTGGTTTACTCTGGTTTTCTGGCATAAAAATTGGTAGTGCCAAGGACTGGAAAGGATTAGTTTTCTTTACTGCAACAGAAACTCTTAAATGGCCAACAATATACCAACTCGTCAAATTAGACAATGTACTTCATTCCTTTTATAAAATGTTCCAAATGGTGCCCATATTATGATAAGCATTGGAAACTACCAGATTACTCTCCTGTATTTCACATATTTCTGTTTAGATGTACATCTACCAAGAGGCAACTGTGTTCATTCCCAAACTTGTTTACTTCACTATTCTTGTTTGTAAAAGCACATGTTTCTACATTATTTATTATAAACACTATGTAAATCAATAAAATGTGTGGAAAAAGAGAATTGCTGTTTCCATGGAGAGTAAGTTGAAAAACATTAGTAGACATAAATCTATAAACGGCAGAAAATATTAACTTGCACAAAAGATATATCTATAAGGAGGAATAGAAGGTAAGAGCGGGAATGACAAAAAAACAAAGATCAACTACTTTCAGTTGCCTAGGAGGGGGGATTTGTGGGAAAACAGAGAGCTTCATGGAAGAGATGTTTGATTTAACTTTGAAAAATGACTAGCATTTTGGAAAGTGGAAATAATACACATTTAAGTTAATATGACTAAATATGAACCATTAGTAAAAATCTAATTTAGAAGAGAACAATATGCATATTTTTATACAGAATTATTGAATTGGAACAGAATTATAAATGAAGAAAGATCTGCTAGTCTTAGTAGCTAACTATACAGAGACTTTAACCTGAAACCATGGATGAGCTGCTAGGGGTTCCGTGAACCTTCTGCAATTTATGTAAAGTTGTTTTTCACATTTTCCTAGACAGAGGGCCCACAACTTCTGATCCAAAATGGATTTAAAACCACTTAACCTACAGACTTATTCCAAGGTAAATTGATGGGCTCATGAGGTAGCTACTGCCTGTTTCCTAAAATGAGGATTAGAAATTAGTCATAATTGCCGGCTTTATTTGCTTTTAAGAATTGGTAGCAGACAGCAGCAGTAAGGGGCAGTTACTGTGAAAAGCAGAAAAATAATGCTAGGCAGAAAAATAGAGTGACTGTATATCACATTCAGAAAAGAACTTAATTAGACCTCAGCCTGTAGACAAGGACTCTGTAACACAGAGATCAAATGTCAAGGGGAAGAGATATGTTCTGTGATGAAAAAAGAACATAAGCAATAGGATACACATTTTCTAAAACATGGTTAACAATTCTTTCCAGGGTAAAGAATTTAAGTCACCCTTATGATATTGGATACACTAAAATAATGCATCACTAGAGACTCAACAAATTAAAGATAAATGTCAAAGTGTTGCCATTTCATATACTCAACATCACTGAAAGGGGATTAACTCTGTATACACAGATATTAGTGGGCAAGAAAGAGAAACATAAGTATCTGTCTTCTAAAGAGACTTACGTGATACATATGCCTATTCTAACAAGCTCTGAAATCCTACTTTTATTAGTGTGCCTCAAAGTTGTGAACAGTTAAGTATAGATCATTAGTCAGTGCATGGTTAATTACATATCAGTATTTCTTGAAGATTAAAACATCTGCAGTTTAATTATCTTCACATAGCAGACCCCATTTTCTACTCATTCAAGTTGGAACAATGTAGTCACTAAATAGATTGTTCTAGATTAAAATCAGCTTGATAGTATTTCACAAAGCTAATTTAAAAGGAAGAACAAAACACACCTGCTTCACATCTCAGGGAGAAACAAGCTCCTGCTTTATACCTTTCTGCATTCACATGAATGCCACAGCAAAGCATTCGCCCTGTAGTCCTGTTTTTCCTTCACTACTTTTACATAGCTATCACAGTTTCCACACAGCTAGCTCTTCAAATTCTTCTTTTCAAATCTGCAAATTTGCTAAACTTTCCATTTAAATGATTTCAATTCTGGTTTTGAGGTCCTGTCCCTACACATAAGCAGATCATCTTCAGATTTGGATCACTGCGCATAATTACCAACACAGTATTATTCTCCTGCTTTCTTTTTTTTTTTTTTTTTTTTTTTTTTTTTTGAGGCAGAGTCTCACTCTGTCACCCAGGCTGGAGTGCAGTGGCATGATCTCCACTCACTGCAACCTCCACCTCCCAGGTTCAAGCAATTCTCTGCCTCAGCCTCCCAAGTAGCTGGGATTACAGGCGCTTGTCACCACACCCAGCTAATTTTTGTATTTTTAGTAGAGACGGGGTTTCACCATCTTCGCCAGGCAGGTCTTGAACTCCTGATCTCGTTATCCACCCGCCTTGGCCTCCCAAAGTGCTGGGATTACAGGAATGATCCACCGCAACCAGCCTCTCCTGCTTTCTTTTCACAGTCCTAAGTGATCCCTTAAAGGAGAGAACATTCCTCAGAAGGGAGGAAAACATGGCAGTGTCTTCACACTGTCCTAAATTTAAGACGGAGAAACCAGAAAAACAATTTAAAATATATAAATGGTGCTTGGAATAATTTACTTGATTACACGTCCTGCAAGTATTTTCCTTCATGTTTTTGTAATGAAGCTGACCATGAAAAAACAAATTTACATTTGTCATCTGTGTAATAATGAGCTGAGCTCATTTGGTGAGGAAAACCTACAATTTAATTGCTTGATTTAAATTTGGCTAGAATGCATACTGAAACATTACTCTTTTAATTATGTAAATTTATAATTGAAAAGTTAAATTTACAAAGGCAATAACATTAATTATTTACTTGCCCATTAAATTTGGGTATATATTACAAAGCTAATTGGCTTCATAAGTCTGCCAAAAAATTAAAAACAATTTGTTCACTGATTTATACAGGAGGGCACACATATTATCAGCAGGTTACTTGTGTGTGTGTGGTCTTTTTGGTGGATTAAATGAAAATATGTGTGAAGTACTTTCTTTATTTACATAATACTCCACATAGGTTCTTTCTTCCTTCTTTGTTTAAAACACATTTTAAAGAAGAAAGGAAGAGAGGCAACTAACATTTGTTTTATTTTATTTTTTATTATACTTTAAGTTCTAGGGTACATGTGCACAACGTGCAGGTTTGTTACATATGTATACATTTGCCATGTTGGTATGCTGCACCCATTAACTCGTCATTTACATTAGGTATATCTCCTAATGCTATCCCTCTCCCTCCCCCAACCCCACAACAGGCCCCAGTGTGTGATGTTCCCCTTCCTGTGTCCACGTGTTCTCATTGTTCAACTAACATTTATTCAATGCTTTCTCTGTATCCTGCTTTCCATGTAAGATCTCATTTAATCCCAGAACTGAAAAAAATACTAACTGGCATTATCTCCTTTTTAAAGATGAAGGAACCAAGGTTTAAGAAGATTTGAAAAATTTGCCAAGGCAAGCTGCAAAACAATCAAATTTAGGACTTGCCCAGAAAGAACTAAGATTTTATCAATTTTGCTATACTGTTTTAGTACTTGTTACTCCCAGCAGATTGAACTGCTGACACATTATGATTCCCTAAGAAGACCTGCTTTAACGTCAACATCAGATTTGTAATGAAAATTTTATTCACAGCCCCATTTGGATATTGGCATAACAAAAACAATAGAGCATAATAAAAAGCACAGAAATCACAGATTAGTATGTACCCCAATGACCTAAATCCAGAATAAGAGAAGGGAAAACAAATCCAGCAAATAAACTTGCACCTTATCTTTAAAGTGAGATTCAATATCAGGCAGGTCCCTCTTAGACTGTAACTCAACAAGGGGGCTTAGAAATTAAAGATTAAAATGCTCATATTACTATACTCTTGGGCATATCGTGAAGATCAAATATGGAGTAAGATAAACAGTTATGAAAATTATCAAATATTATGCAAATGCAAATTAGCACAATTAGAGTAAGACTGTCTTACACCTAAAGAATTCCCATGGAATTAACCCTGAGTTTATATGAAGATTACAATTTAGCTATATTCTCATGTAACCTAAGAGTCTTACAAATTCTTTAATATGTAGTAAGTTTAACCAGTATGTGGTCCAGAGAGAAATTTAATTAGTATGTGACTTTAACAGGGACAACTAGCCCAAAGTTATTAATTAATACTAAGTAAAATATTCTAAAATAATAATGTTTCCAAAAGGGCTTGGGTCATTATATTCATTAATATTTTAAGCAAGTTTTTATACATAGGAAAAAACAAAATATTAAGCATATACTTCTGCATGCACACTTTAAATAATACAGCTAAATTGCCAATGGTTATAGAGCAATTAGGGCCATATTAATATGTAATGAAAAGCAAAATTCTGCATTTTTAAGAGAGATTTAAATTATACTTGAATGTCTGCAAGTCTATTGGGAAGTAAAACAATATTCCAATTTCCAGGTGACTCATGGCAACATTTGCAAATGTGAGCTGATGATTTTAGAGATTTTCTACAGTAGTTCTAAATCTAATATATCATCATAAATTATCTTAGACTGCCTTGGAACACTTCATATATGATTCATTATGATGGAGTTTGGCTGGGTGCTGGGGGCTGAAACCAACAAATTAGGTCCAAATTACACTTTGATTCTTTTAAATTCAATGTTTAAGGGATATCGGTCTATTGGTCTGTGGGAAGACACAGGCCATTTTCAAAAAGAAAAAAGATCATGTACATTTTTATATCCCTTATACCATTAAAATGGAAACATTTAATTTTTTATTATGTGTTAAACTGAGAAGAAATAAAGACATGAATCAATGCATCCAGCATTTAAGTACTAAGAGGATTTTCAGACCCGGAAACCTCATATGACATAATTCTTTGTAATGTCTTGTAATGTCAAAGTAATTCATCACCATCATCCACAGTAGAATAGCATTAGTCAGCATCAGGACTGGGCATGGCACCCCATGGGCCAATCTTTCATTTTCATTTATGAAGTCTGGAGTAGTAGTGGGGCTTAGACATTACTCTTCATCCAACTCTTCTAATTATTCTGATATCATGGGAATCTGGATTTGAAATACTAGTAAAATGTTGAGATTCAACTAGCAGTAGCTAAAATTTACTGGAAGATCAATCCAATTAATGAATCTTGTATACTGATTACTGTTAAGAATTGCATAAAAACCTTATAGCAAATTATAATAAAAGCGGAAGATATGGCTTTGGGGTAAATTATTAAACCACATTTTACTTGTTAAAATCTAAATACTGTGTAATCCAACACGATTTTGCCTCTTTTGAAGGATAAATTTTTATGAGGAGATAAAAGAAAAAATATGTATGTCAATTTATATGTGTGTGTTATGTGTATATTTATATAGTGTGTATGTATGTGTGTACACACACAATATAAGTATATACGCACACACCCAATCATAGGTTTTCATTGAATTTCAAAATAAAATGCTACTTAGAAGCATGTAATACCCTATATAAACTATAATTGCTTTATGAAAGAGAGATAGAACAAATGGTTTATTTTACCAGACAAAGCACCAGCCTGGCAGAGAAGCCACAGACTTGTATGTGCTTCTCAGCAAATAGTCATCAACACTGGTTTATGCAAGTGACTTTGGAGACATTTCTCAGAAACTGCTAGAATTTGGATGCATACATCAGCTGCTTGAGTCAACCAACATCTCACAACATACAGAACTATTTTACTGAAGAAAGACATTTGGACGACAGACATTTCGAATAAGGAACAATAAAAAATGATGAAAGATTTTTTTCAGAAATATTGAAAAATTCTAGGTAATCAACTAAACAATGTCCTTTCTACATATTGCACATTCTCCCACATGAGAGAACAATCAAGAAATCTTTATTTGCATCTGGAGGGCAAATTCATCACTGGATGGAGTTATAACAGTTTAGTCAATGGAAGCTGGTATAAAACAGATGATGTTTTAAATGTTTTGATACATTAGCAACCCTCTAATTTTCTTTCATTTTAGGTTACCAAGGCAACTCTTTGGAAATACACCTCAATGATATTTTTTATAATTCTGGCCACAAAAATAAAAAAAAAATCAATCAGAAACATTCTTATTTCTGTAACATTTGTTCCACAAATATGTATCAAACATGGGCTAGGGCTACTCAAAGTCCTAGTAATAATGGACCTGCAAGTGTAATGAAGGGAAGTAAAAATGCTATGAGTCCATAAACTCTCATTGCTTTTATAACAAGTACTACCACCAACTCACAGCTTCTCTCTCTCTCTCTCTCTCTCTCTCTCACACACACACACACACACACACACACACACACACACACAGCTGGAGACACCAGTGAATAGATTCTCCTATACGTTTATAGTTATTGATATTGGAATTTAATCAAAGAATTTATGATTCCACTCTAAGATTTTCGTTGGATCTTTTATTATCCATTACATTTTCTATCTGACTGAAAAAGTCTCTGAAAATATAGAACTTCCATGCAGTTTGAGTTACAGCCAGAAGCTACAGTGTCTTATAGTAAATATACCAAAGAAAGCAATAAAGAACTGGTGAAAAATGCTGTGTAATTTAAGCAATAAAAGTACATTTACAGAAATGGCACAATAGTAGCCTTCCAAAGCTTTCATTTTCAAATACAAAAGATATAGACATCTATGAGTAAATCAAAGGGGCAATAACGATTCATTAGGGGAGAACTTCTCTTGTTAAGGCAAAGGTATATTTCTAGATTCTGGGTGTCACTTCAATGTTAAACAATATTCTCTGCACCAGACTCACAGCTTTCCTTAGCTTCTTAGTTTCCTAGTTGACTCAGGACATACCAGTGAGGTAAGGAACCTACAAGAAATATGACATTTCACTGCATGTACCCAAATAGGTTTCAATCTGTGTGCCTTAAATTGATTAGCTGGAGATGAAGCTTCGCCAGGCCAGCCCACTGTCTGCTCTTGCACTTTATTTTCAGGAAGGCAGTTAGTGTTCAGTGCTTTTCCTCTGTCACAGTCAAACTACAGAATACCATAGATTGGGTGATGTAAACAACAGAATTTTATATCTCATGGTTCTGAAGTCTGGAAGACCAAGATCAGGGTGCTAGTATAATTGAGTTTTGGCAATTGCCCTCATTCTGGCTTCTCACTGTATCCTTAGGTAGCAGAGACAGAGATCATCTTTCTCATGTCTCTTCTTATAGGTGCACAAATCCCATTCATGAGGGCTCCACTCTCCAGGCCTAATAACATCCCAGAGTCCCCACCTCCAAATACCATCATATTAGGGGGATTTAGGCTTTGACAAATAAACATGTAAATGTGGGGAGGGCACACAAGCATTTGGTTCTCAGCAGCATCCAAAATCAAGGTACGGTAGGTAGATCATGCTAGTCTTTGCCTTAACTGCTAGTGTATACACCACTTTGAAATATCAAAGGTATTCAAATAAAATTTAAAAATGCATGTATTACAAATCAATAGAGTTCATCTTTATATCTTCCTTCACCCATTACAGGTTGCCCAATTAGTATTTGTCAAAAAATGATTTACCAATTGCTAATTTGTCTATTTTAAAACCTGGAATTCTGATCTAACATGCATGAATAAAGAAAAACACTACTGCAATAGGGAAAAGTGATGCTGAGTAATTTGACATTGCAATGATAATCATTTCTGGATTTCTTATAACGAAAGGAAGAGCTCCTATAAGAAATAAAGATGTCTAGTGCCACCCACCATATGCTAAAAAATGAAAACACAAAACACATGCATACACATACATGCAATGCACTAGAGACATCTACTGATGAGTTCAACATATTCCTCATCTCATGTCCAATTAAAGTTTTGGACATTCCCAGGATTCCCAGGAGATACTACTCTGATAAAGTATAAAACACCATATGCCTTTAGATGGTTTTTTTTTTTGTTTGCTTGTTTTAAGCCAATCCTAGTTTTTGTCAGCTTCTTGAGGGTATTAAACAGAATGAATGTTTTTTGGCTCCAAATTCATGGAGCTAACACATACCACCATTTAACATAACAGCACTCACATGAACAACTCTGAACAAACAATTGTTTTAGATTACCACCACCAGCCTCATATTTTTGTCGTTACTTTGCAGTAGTATGTCACTATATCATTTGAAGACTGTTCTGCCTCAATAGGGGTCTAATGAAAATTAGACACAAGTGGAAGAGTAAAATACACATATAGCCTATGACATATATATGAATATATGCATTTGTAAGTGGGACAAAAGCAATATTCCTGTACCAATTGAAAAGTACAAAGAAAAAAATTTTGACAATGTTTTCACTGCATATATTAACATAAAAACAGCTGGGTATATTAGCTATCTGTTTCTGCATGACAAATTACTACAAACTTAGTGGCTTAAACACACATTTATTATTTATTATTTATAATAATATATTTATTACTTGTAAGTTTTTACTGAGAATCTACTATGAGTCTAGACCATATTAGGTGCTAGTAAAGGATTAAATAGGCCGAGCACAGTGGCTCATGCCTGTAATCCCAGCAATTTGGGAGGCCAGGGCAGGTGGATCATTTGAGGTCAGGAGTTCAAGACCAGTCTGACCAATAAGGTGAAACCCCGTCTCTACTAAAAATACAAAAATTAGCCAGCAGTAGTGGCACATGCTTGTAATCCCAGCCACTTGGGAGGCTGAGGCAGGAGAGTCACCTGAGCCTGGGAGGCAGAGGTTGCTGTGAGCCAAGATGGCGCCACTGCATTCCACTCTGGGTGACAAAGTGAGACCCTGTCTCAGAACAAAACAACAACAAAAAAAGGAATTAAATGGCAAGATGAGTTATAATAGTAAGCATCTGTTTATGAGATATGGGGAAATGCATTTGGGTAGAGGAATCTGACACATAAACAAATAAGCAGTCAAAGAGTACAGCACACATTTATGGTCAGGATAAGATGGCATAGATCATTTCTCCATGCCAAGCACAACCATTAACTCCAGAAATGTTTCAAGAGACAACCAAAAAGAACTGTCATAGGTGATAAAAAGACGGGGCTAGCTGACTTAGGATCCCAGGTTGGGAGGAACAGCATAGCAACCAGATGTATTGTCTCTCTTTTATCAAAAAGAAGAAGGCTATGCAGATCTGGTGTTTACCAACAACCCCAAACTTGGGGGCATGAGGAGGGAAGGCAGCCCAGGTGGTCACATCCCTTCCTTGGAATTCAATGGGAGTCTTATGACAACATCTGGCAAACCCAACACAACCAGCAAGAGGATCATTTGGGAAGCCAGCCAGACATAAGCTTGTAGGAGAGGCATGAACTTGAGGCATCTCTTTCCTGCCAAGAGATACCAAGGTGGGTGGGCAGAGCTGGCAAGAGAGACTCAGCTACAGTAAGCAGCCTGAACCAGAAAACCTATTTGCCCCAAATTATTAAATTATTAAGCCACATTTCATTGTTAAAACAAGTTGAGCATAGGTGAAAAAATACTATGTAATCCAACATGGTTTTGCCTCTTTTGAAGTACAAACTTTATAAGAGGAGATTGTGAAAGAGAATGTGTGTGTGTGTGTGTGTGTGTGTATACACATGCAACATAAATAAATATATATATATATATATACACATACACACAACCATAGGCTCTCATTTAATTCCAAAATAAAATGCTATTTAAAAGCATGTGTAATACTCTATATAAACTATAATTGTATTATGAAAGAGAGATAGAACAAATAATCTATTTTTCTAGACAAAGCACCAGCATTGCAGAGAATCCACAGAATTGTATGTGCTTCTAAGCAAATAGGCATCAACTCTTGTTTATTCAAGTAACTTTTGAGAAATTTCTCAGAAAATTCTAGAATTTGGGTGCATATATAATCTGCTTGAGTCAACCAACACCTCACAATATATAGAACTATTTTACTGAAGAAAGACATTTGGACAGAAATAGCCATTTCAAATAAGAAACAATAAAAATACTATGAAAGAATTTTTCAGAAATACTGACTCTGTGATGGGTGGTCAGAACAAAATAAAGGGAAACAATAACTGGAAAAGGCCCACATTGAGAAGCTGCTTTATTCCTGTGGACTCAAAATACTTCTTCTTTGCCTAGAAACAATGGAGTAGGGGGTGCCTGTAAGAGAATACCACAATTCCCTCCCAACTCAGAGAAATATCTGGCAGCCTGACCTGGGGAAACTCCTGCCCTTGCAGGCAGTATAAGCTGGGGCAAGTGAGAATTCCGATGGCACCTAATAAACCAAGCATGCCAAAATAACACCACAAAGCTTCTGCCATTGGAAACAAAGCCCACAAAATTTGACCAATACTTACGTGCTGAAAGTCAACAGGGTGACTGACTACTGAAAAAGAAGATTTAAACAGGACCCAGAGTATCCTGACAGAACAGATAAAATGTCCAGAATACAATGCAAAATTACTCATCATACCAAGAACCAAGGCAATCACAACTTGAATAAGAAAAGATAATCAACTGATGCTAATACCAAGACGAATTGAATGTTAATCATCTGACAAGATATGAAAGTAAGTGTTGAAGAAATGTCTCAACAACTAATTACACACTCTCTCAATACAAATGAAAAAACAGGAAATCTCAGCAAAGAAACACTATAAAGCAGAATCAAATGGAAATTATAGAACAAAAAAATACTATAACAAAAATGAAAGACTTTATAAATGGACTCAATAGCTGAACAGAGAAGATGAAGGACAGAATCTCTGAACTTGAGGACTGAATAATAGAATTCACCCAATCTTAACAACACAGAAAGAATAGACCGGAAAATAAAAATAAAATAAAATAAACAGTGCCCCAGAGACCAATAACAAAAGGGTGCTAATAAAAGATTCAATTTTGTATCGTTGAACTCCTAGAAGGAGAGGGGAAATAGAGAGATGCTGAGAGTATTTAAAAATATATTAGCTAAAAACTTTGCAAATTTGGTGAAAGATACAAACTACAGATCTATGAAGTTCAGCGAATACCAAACAGGGTAAACCTAGAGAAAACCAGAACAAAACATATAATAATTAAACATGAAAAACTAAAGACAACGAAAAAAAAAATCTTAAAAGCAGCCAGAGAGAAATGATGCATTCCATACAGGGAAAAGCCAATTTAAATAACAGATTTCTCATCTGAAACCATGAAGGCCAAAAGAAAGTAGCACATTTTTCAAGCACTGAAAGAAAAAAAAAATCTATCAACTATGAATTCTATATCAGGTAAAAATATCCTTGAGGAAGGAAAGGGAAATAAAAATATTCTCAGATGAAGGAAAACTAAGACAGTGTGTTGTCTGCAGAGCTCCCCTTAAAGATTTACTAAAAGAAGTTCTCCAAACAAAAAGGAAAGAATAAAAGAATCTTGGAATTTGAGGAAGTATAACCAAGCACCCATTTTTAATTTTTTTCTCTTTTCCTATCTTGCTTATTTTATGTTTAGCTTCTTAAGAAATAAAGGCTAGTCTGGTTTCTTTCCTTCCACCAGGCACAATGTTTCCCTTATTTGATTTTATGCTTGCTTAGAAAATCCAGGGACTGAATCTTGAAACAGTCCAGGGACCTATAGAATTCTCCCCAACTAGGAGATTACCTGACGGCTGCAGTTGATTTACAACCTGATTGGGCCAAGGATTGTGTCAGCCCATTCACCAGATGGGGCAATGACTCAATATAAGTTATTGGAACAAGTCATCTAGAAGGGCATCTCCTCACCCTTCCTGCATACCCATCATACCAAGCTCCCATTCTTAAGTCCTTGAATTCTGTCCAAAATTTGAAATGGCTTAAGTCATGGAGTCTCAGCCATTTCCCCACTGCTAGCTCTGGAATAAGTCACTTTCCTTCCACCACATTTCATCCCTGTTATTTGTCATTGTAAGTAGCAGGCAGCTGAACCTGCATTTGGCTACAATGTTTGGTGGCCCATATGGGAGATCTGTGCATCCTAGTGGTTTAAGCCTGGTGGTTGGCCATGGAAGGACACCAGGGCTTGTCCATCCATGTTACTGGACAGGGCAAAGGGTCTCCCCTGAGCTGCTGGTGGCTAGCTGACCTCATAGCTGGGGCTCTGGGGAACTTCCTTGAAGCTGCTGAGATATTCTTGTCTTGTCTTGGGCAATGTCCCTTCTCTTCCTGCCATGGCACTGGCTGCCTTCTATGTTTCACTGGTACAAGGAAAGTGGAATCTGAGGAAGTCAATGGGCTTCAGAACTCAGAATGTCAGCTGGACTGCACCCAGCTTTCCTTTTTCTCTTTTGGGATGTCACTTGAGCTCTGCTTTACTTAGAATTAGCTGCTTGTGACATCGTTTGGGCTTGTACACTATTTGTATTTGTGGCACCACCTGAGCTTTGTTCCATTAGGACTCAGCTACTTGTGGAGCTATTAAAAATTGAGACAAGGCTGTGGGACTCTTTACCCAGCCACTTGAGTGACAATTTGTTTAGGAGCGACCGTGTGAGTAGGGAACATTTATGCTTGGGCCCTTATTTTTCTTTCTTCTTTCTTTCTTCCTTTTCTTATCTTGCTCACTGAAATCCAGGGATCCAGCCCTGGAGGGGAACAGTTTCCACCGCGCTTATGAATGGGTAACCCTGTCTAAAGTCCCAAAGTACCTCTCATAACCGTTCCAGACTCTGTGGGGAAAAGAAGAGTGTGAACACTTCTGCAGGTTGTCAAAACAAGCTTCCCACCCTTCTTACCACACTCACTGTTGTCTATGTGAGCAGAAGGTTAAAAATATCTGGGATAAATCTCTAACCCCAATTCCAATCTCTTTGCCCTTTTTGTCTGCCTGATTCACTATCTCACTTGTTGCCCTTCAGTTATCTCTATCAAAATAGATAGACCGGGACTTGGAATAAGACTGAGGTACTAACAGATGTCATTTTCCATCTCCCCTCCCCTGCACGTGGACCTCTTTTTTGATATCCCTAACTGCATAGGCTATGTGGTGAGATTTGCGTAGGCATACCTCTTGGGATTGCAAACAACATTATTTTACACAGGTTGTGCAAAGTCAGACTGATCCATCCAACAACTAGGGGTCTAGTATCAGGAGGTGGCTTGTGGAACAAAGGCAGAGCACCAAGCAATAAGGACAGTAATCATCACAGTTTTAACAAGGTCAGACAGTACAAGTGCAGAAACCAAGTCAGAATAAGCAAAAGGACTGCTTTCTTTCTTTTTTTTTTGAGATGGAGTCTCACTCAGGCTGGAGTGCAGTGGTGTGAACCTGGCTCACTGCAACCTCCACCTCCCAGGTTCAGGTGATTCTCCTGCCTCAGCCTCCTGAGTAGCTGGGATTACAGGCATGTGCCACCACGCCCAGCTAATTTTTGTATTTTTAGTAGAGATGGGGTTTCGCCATGTTGGCCAGGATGGTCTCGATCTCTTGACCTCATGATCTGCCCGCCTCGGCCTCCCAAAGTGCTGGGAGTATAGGTGTAAGTCACCATGCCCAGCCAAGCAACAAGATTTCTATCTCCTTCCTCCCCAGAAGCCCCTTGGGGTACATTCTGGGCAACTGAAGGGCTTACAGCTATGAGCCCAAGACTAAGAGAAAGATGATTTGTTACTGTAATACTGTCTGGACTCTATACCATGAAGATGATAATGAATTTTGGCTTCTGAAAGAAAGTACCCAGTATTGGACCCTAATCCAGCTAAAATTATTTTGTCAAAGGACTGGGAAATGAGAATAAATACCATAATGCCAGGCTTTCATGTTATTGCATAATCGGGATCCCAGTTGGGATGGGAGGATAAGGGAGCGGGCACCAACTCTTAGCTGTGCAGAAAGACCGAACGAAAATTCTTCCAGATAGTTGTATCCAGAAAGAAAAAGATGAGGAAGATCTCACCCTTTTAAAATGCCCTGAATCTGGCTGTTCTGGAAGTGACTGTTCCTGCAGCTGCAGCTCAGCCTGTGGCCACCCTCCCCCTTACAGATCCTGCCACAGCAGCAGCTCCAGCAACCCTTCCCAAGGCTGCAGCAGCAGCCCCGCCTATGACCACAGTACCGCCTCTCCCCCTGGCCAATGTCTCAACTGCTTTGTCCCCACCATAAAAGGAGCCAGACCTAGAAGGAGGGGCTGCTGCCCTTCCAGAGTATGATGAGGGAACTGGAATGGTCTCCCTCTCCAGGACCCAGTAGGGCACCTGATTTGCACAGAGCAATACCATGACCAGAGCAGGGCAATTCCCACTTAGGCAAATATCCGTGGGTGGCTTAGATGAAAACAAGCAGCCTGCCAGACATTATTGGGCTTACAACCCATTTCCAATGCCTGTTTTATTCAATCAGAAAAGTTCCAACCCACCTTATAAAGAGGATCCTCAGAAAATGACAGACCTCTTTGAATGTATTTTTGCCACCCATCAGCCCACTTAAGCAGATGTTTGAGCCTCTATTAACTGGCTGCTAACTGCAGATGAAAGGAGACTAGTAATGGAGAAGGCAAATAAGGAATCTCAGGGTCTCTCTGAGACCAATCCAAATAATAATCCTGATCCTGCTGGAGTTGCTCCACGCACAAACCCAAATTGGGATCCCAATCAAACTGGGGACATGGCCCACCTGGAACGTTACTGATGTGCATCCTGGTAGGAGTTAGAGGACTAATGCCCAAACGAGAGTTTAAACAGAGTTCAGACAGTCCTCCAAAAGATGAATGAGGATCCCTCTGAATTCTTAGAACATATTTACCAAATCTTCCATAGATATACTGGTAAAAATCCAGATGATCTGAAGAATTCAAGACTACTGAACATGACTTTCATTCGGTAGAGTGATCTCAATATAAAGAGAAAGTTAAAAAAACAGGGTGCTGCACTGGGAATGGCCTCTTCCCAGTTAATGGATGTTGCTTCCAAAGTATACAATGGCAGGGAGGAAAAGAATCAAAAGCCCACCACTACATATGTGGTATGGGCAGGAAAGCCTCTGAGAAACCAGCACATGACTCTGGGTAGCAAACAATGGGCCTATTGTAGAAAGGAAGGCCATTGGAAAGACAGCTGCCCAAAATTAAAGGGCCCAGAGGGCCAGAGAAAAGCTGAATCCACTCAGGATAGAGGACACAGGCAAATAATGGGACAAGGTTGTGGCCTTGATGATGAACAGAGATATCTGGAGGCTCCCTTAAATCTCTCCGAGCCAATTAAAATTTCCCCACAGGAGCCCCAGGTACAACTGACAGTGGGGAACAAGCTAATCAATTTCCTGGTCAATACAGATGCCACTTACTCAGTTCTTAACACAACAGAAGCACAAAGCACCAAATGGCAGTACCTATAACAGGAGTTGTAAGAACAATAAAACTTTCTCACAACCTCTAGAGTGAAAACTGGGAGGCCTGGAACTAAAGAAACAGCTTTCTCTATATGTCAGAATGCCCAATCCCTCCACTGGGATATGACCTGCTATAAATTAAATGCTCAAGTAACTTTCTGCCTGAGAAGCAGCAATTACACTTACAGGTCCTGCTGGAACAAGCACTACAGCTACAAATACTACTCACTCACCCTGAGAAGAAGGAAGATAAAGCCTTTCCTTTGGAAATCTACAAAAGGGTAAGTAATTGCATTTGGGTAGACAGAACCTTAGAGACCAAAACAACCTTCTAATATTGTTTGATGGTGTTGCCTCAAGGGTTCAAAAATTGGCACACTATCTTTGAGGAAATATTGGCAAAGAACTTGAGAAGCTTACAACTAGATAAAGGAGTTCTGCTATGATATGTAGATGACTTACCAATAGCAAGCCTTGATTATGAAAAATGAATGTCCAACATGATTCTAGTCCTAAATCACCTGGCCCAATGTGGATATAATGTGTCTCTGCAGAAGGCCCAAATCTTCAAACAAAAAGTAACCTTTCTCAGCTTCAGGTTGAAGCAGGGCAAAAGGAGCCTAACGACTGACAGAAAGTTGGCCATCAAAGCTCCAGAGAATAGAAGGTATTTGCAAGGACTCAGAAATAGCTGGCTTCTGCTAGATTTGAATCCCTAGTTTTGGGTTAATGGCTAAAGTATTCTATGAAGATTTACAGGAACTATACTCAGAACTCCTGTCCTGGACAAATGAATGTCAACAGGCATTTGATGTCATCAAAGAAACACTGATAACAGCCTGAGTGTTGGGATTGCTGGACCCCCAGAAGCCATGCATGCTCTATGTCCATGGGAAACAAGGCATAGATCTGGATGTGCTTCTCCAAATGCTTGGAGACACCCTGCAACTCATAGCCTATTTCTCCAAACAGTTGGACTGAACAACCAAGGGGTGGCCCCCTGCCTTTAGGCAGTGGCAGCCACCTGTGAAATCCTACAGGAAGCATAAAAATTTAGCCTGGGACAATTGGTCACTGTGTTCATGCCTCATGAGGTATTGACTTTGCTGGAACAAAAGGAGGCTACTGGCTCATTGCAGGGTGAATGGGCGAATACCAGACCATCTTCTTTGATGATGCAAACATTAACTTACAAACCACTATCACTTTAAACCCTGTTACACTGTTTCCAGCCATGGAACCCAACCTTGGGTGATAGCATGACTGTTTGGAAATCTTTAGTGCAGTCTATTCCAGGAGGCTGGACCTGTCAGATCAGCCAATGAATACTCCAGATTGGAAGCTATACCTTGACAGGAGTACTTTCATGGAAGGTGGAAAACACAGAACTGGGTATGCTGCGGTGACTACTGACAGGTTAATAGAAACTCATGCTCTGACAGTACTGCTGCACAGAGGGCTGAGCTACCTGGCCTAACCAGGGCCCTAGAGCTGTCCCAAGGAAAGTGAATAAACATTTACACTGACTGCAAATATGCCTTCATGGTAGTGTGTTGTGGGAAGGCAGGGTCCCTGAACAGAGGGACCGGCTGAAGCCACGGCAGAAGAACATAAATTGTGAAGATTTCATGGACATTTATTAGTTCCCAAAATTAAAACTTTTATAATTTCTTACACCTATGTTTACTGCAATCTCTGAACATAAATTGTGAAGATTTCATGGACATTTATCACTTCACCAATCAATACTCTTATAATTTCCTGTGCCTGTCTTTAATCTCTTAATCCCATCATCTTCGTAAGCTGAGGATGTATGTCACCTCAGGACCCTGTGATGATTGCATTAACTGTACAAATTGTTTGCAAAACGTGTGTTTGAACAATCAAACAAATCAGGGCACCCTGAAAAAGAACAGAATAACAGCAATTTTTAGGGAACAAGGAAAAATAACCATAAGGTCTGACTGCCTGCGGGGTCGGGAAGAATACAGCCATATTTTTCTTCTGGCAGGGAGCCTATAAACAGACGTGTGAGTAGGAGAAATATCACTGAATTCTTTTCCCAGCAAGGAATATTAATAATTGATAACCCTGGGGAAGGAATGCATTCCCAGGGGTAGGTCTATAAACGACAGCTCTGGGAGTGTCTGTCTTATGCGGTTGAGATAAGGGATGAAATACACCCTGGTCTCCTGCAGTGCCCTCAGGCTTACTAGGATTGGGAAATTCCAGCCTGGTGAATTCTAGTCAGACCGGTTGTCTGCTCTCAAACCCTGTTTCCTGTTAAGATGTTTATCAAGACAATGTGTGCCCAGTGGGACATGGACCTTTATCAGTAATTCTAATTTTGCCCTTGCCTTGTGATCTTGCTCTGCCCTTTGCCTTGTGATCTTTTATTGCCCTTTGAAGCATGTAACACCCCCTCCCCTTTCAAAATCCCTAATAAAAATTTGCTAGTTTTGCAGCTCGAGGTCGCCATCACAGTCCTACCAATATGTAATGGCACCCCTGGAGGCCCAGCTGTAAAATTCTTCTCTTTGTACTCTTTCTCTTTATTTCTCAGACCAGCTGACACTTAGGGAAAATAGAAAGCAACCTATGTTGAAATATTGGAGGCTGGTTCTCCCGATAGTAGTGTATGCTCACAGAGCCATCTGGAAAAAGAGAGAGCTCCTAACATCAGGAAATAAGGACATTAAACACCCAGTGGGAATTTTAGCCCTGTTAGGAGCAGTTTCTGTGCCTACCCAGGCCTCCATCATGCACCCTCCTGGACACCAGAAAGATGACTCACAAAAAGCCAAAGCAAATCGAACAGCTCATATGGCTGCAAAGTGGTCCACTTGGGAAGCAGAGATGTCAGGGACCTTCATATTCATTTGGATTTGTCAGATTTTAAACTCCATTCCACTGAGAAAGATGAAAAGTGCCCCAGGGTCTGGGGCTTTAGTAAAACAGACCCAGATTAACTGTGGAAAACTGATGCCTATGGAATAATTTCGCTCCCTGAGGCCCTGGTTTATCCGATTTTAAAACATCTACATAAGGGAACACACTATAGGAGAGATACTCTTGCCAACCTAATATGGACTTACCTCAGGGGACCACACCTCCAGAAGACTATTCAGAAAATAATGCAAGGACATGTTTTATGCAGTAAGAATAATCCCAAAACTTAAATCACTACCCTCCCACCCACTAGGGGTGTGCAATACAAAGGCTATGCCATTTTGAGGACAAACAGGTTTACTTCACTCAAGTCTCACTCAAATACCCAAGGCCAGTAAGAATTATAGGTTTCTTTTGGTATTTGTGGACACCTGTTGGGGATGGGTCGAGGCATATCTTGCTAAATTTGAGAGAGTTACAGAGGTAGCCAAAGCATTACTGAAGGAAGTCATTTCCAGGTTTGGACACCCATTCACTATACAAAATGACAACGGCTCTTCCTTTATTTCAGAAGTTATCCAGAAGGTAAGTCAAGCATTACAGATTTAATAAAAATTGCATTTGTCATGGAGACTGCAATCGATGGGGAAAACAGAGAAGATGAACTACACCTTAAAGAATATGATGGCCAAACTCTGCCAGGAAGGCAATCTGAGTTGGGATAAGATTTTGCCTGTTGCCTTGCTCCAAATCAGAGTAGAACCATGAAGTGGGCTTGTATTGAGCCTCTTTAAAATTACATATGGGAGACCATTCCAGACCCCTTTGCCAGGGATCCCACCTTTGAATCTGTTCAGTGAGTCCAGGGTTAAATAATATGTACAATAATTAGAACAGACATTACTATGTGGCAATTTGCTCTTTCCAGGTCTGCCTACTCCACAGATGAGCTTCTTTACCTGTTCCATCCAGGGGACAAGGTGCCATTAAAGTCCTGGAAAAATCAAGGACCAAATCAACAACTGGCTGAAAAATGGACTGGATCCCATGATGAGATGCTGACCTCTCATTCATCAGTCAACCTGTCCAGAACGAAACCATGGGTCCACCACTCTGAAATAAAGGTGGCTTCACCCTAGCTTGACCCCACAGAGGAGGCTGCTTGGACATGTGAGCCAAAAGAAGAGATTAAAATACTACTTAAGAAAAACCACAAATAAGTAAAGCCCTATTTTTAATTTCCTGTAGAATGAATAGAATGAAACACTTGCAGGCTGGGCAACATAGTGAGACTTTGTCTTTATAAATAATAATGATAATAATAATATTAATAAACAATTAGCCGAGTATAGCAGTGCACATCTGTGGTCCCAGATACTCAGAAGGTTGAGGTGGGGGGATCACTTGAGTCCAGGTGGTCGAAGCTGGAGTGAGCCATGATTGCACCACTGCATTCTAGCCTGGGTGACAATGCAAGACCTTGTCTCAACAAACAAACAAACAAACAAACAAACCCTTATTTCTCTGCCCTGCTGGGTATCACCTACACAGGAAAATGCCTGGCCACACTTGCAAGTCTTCACAGAAGACCTTAAGTAGTGGACAGGGGAATAGATGTCAGGTGTAACTGGAAAAGATACAGCCCAATGGCCCATAAATAAGACTCTCAATGACTCTGGACTTGGGAAGCCTTTCTCGATAAATGTAACACAAGAAACAGTAACCACACTGGCCCCTCCTCTACTAGATACAAAAATGATGGCCCAAGAAGTAAGGCCCCAGAACTCTCACTATAAAAACAGGTTTCTTCAAATCTAGGAAAGCTTTATATGGATGACAAATCAGCAGGACACTTAAGTCAGATAGCCCCTCAAACCATGGCCAGATACTCGAGTCATGGGCTGGATTCCCTCAGAACAGCATTGACATATCATAGTTCTATGGGAAAGGGGGATGGCTGCAAGCGACTGATCCCAGTGACCTGGCATTAACTGGTATGCTTCTAATGGAATTCAGTGGTTTTGTGGTATAAACCTGGCTATCATCAGGATGGCCAGGACACTGTACAGTGGGCCTCTCCTGGGCTCAGGGACACTGGACAAAGACTACAGAATAACACGCTAATCTTCCTCACATGGTTAAAAGATGAACCAAGTACATTTTTCGCTGGTACAATCACCTAGCTTCTATGTTCCTCCATCCCTGGGTCTGGATGATGTCATCTGGCACATGGAAGCCCTTGCTAATTACACCCAAGGGGCTCTAAATGACAGTATACATCTCTGATAAGTGGCAAAATGTACCACATGCATAAAGCTGTTTTACAAAATCAGAAGGAACTAGTTTTTTTTTTTTTTTTTTTTTGAGATGGAGTTTCACTCTTGTCACCCAGGCTGGAGTGCAATGGCTCGATCTCGGCTCACTGCAACCTCTGCCTCTCAGGTTCAAGCGATTCTCCTGCCACAGCCTCCTGAGTAGCTGGAACTACAGGCACATGCCACCATGCCCAGCTAATTTTTTGTATTTTTAGCAGATATGGGATTTCACCATGTTGGCGAGGCTGGTCTCGAACTCCTGACCTCAGGTGATCCACCCGCCTCAGCCTCCCAAAGTGCTGGGATTACAGGTATGAGCCACCGTGCCCAGCTGGCACTAGATATTCTAATGGCTGTTCAAGGGGGCACCTTTGCCTACATTAAAACCAAGTGTTATATAATACATTCTAGACAACTTGGGAAATATCTCATTAGCCCTAAATAATATGCATAAACAAATTCACATCACGTCTGACCCTACATTTCCACTAGATCAATGATTTGCACTCTGATTCAGGTCAGGACCATCCTGGTGGAAAAAGTTACTTGTGACCTTGATGATAATTGCAGGAATAGGCATACTTCTTTGCTGTGGATCCTACTACTGTTAAATATTCTGCATGGGAATGCAAGATAGACTTTCCCAGAGGCTTGCAACCCTTGTATTACAATGCTCCAACAGGCTTCCTTCATGAGCCCAGGTACTTGAAAATATTTTCAACTCCAAGTAAATCAGTTCCATTCCAATGTCCTTTAACTACACCCCATTCAGCAGGAAGTAGCCAGAATGCATATCCACTATCCATAGGAAGAGAATGGAATTAGCTGCCAGCAGAGAGTTGTAACCAAATACCCTATTTTTAAATATCTTTTCTTTTCCTTCCTTGTTTATTTTATGTTTAGCTTCTTAATAGCAAAATGGTAACCTTTGCTTACTTTCCTTCCACCAGGTACCCCCTTGCACCATGTTTCCCTTATCTAATTGAATGCTTACTTAGAAGTTCCAGGGACTAAATCTTGAAACAATCCAGGCACCTATGAAATTCTTCCCCACTAGGCAGTTATCTGAAGACTGCAGTTAATTTACAACCTGACTGTGCCTGGTATGATGCCAGCCCATTCACCAGATGGGACAATAACTCAAGTCATCAGAACAAGTCATGTAGCCTTGTAACCCCTCACCACTCCTGAGTGCCCTTAAGAACCAATTTCTGCTTCTTAAACTCTTGCATTTTGTCCAACATTTGAAATGGCTTCTTTAAGGCATAGAGCCTTTGCCATTTCTCTACTGCTAGCTCTGCAATAAGTCACTGCCCTCCCACTGCACTCATACCTGTTATTTGTCTTCGCAAGTGGTGAACAGTAGAACCTGGGTTTGGTTACAGAAGTATCAGGAAGGAAGAAGGAAAAAGGAAAAGAGCAGAAATGCAGGACAGACAGTAGACTATCCTTTTCCCAAAATTGTATACATCATATTTGATTATTTTTTAAAATTACAGCATTCTGCTATATAAGACAATGTTATTTCAAATGGGAAAGTTACAATGACCAAAATAGAGGTTTTCGTACCTTGCCTGAAGTGATAAAATGTTAATAACAGTACACTGTCATAAGTTTATTTTTGCCAGAGAAACCACTATGAAAACTATAGAAAAAGATACACCCAAACACAGTATAAGTAAAGGTGGAATCCTTTTAAAACGTTCAAGTATCTTGTAGGAAAACAAGAAGAGACAAACATGGGAAACAAATGGAAACAAATAATTTAATGTTTTACCATCTTAAAGTGCAGGGCCCAATGGCTATTAGTGTATTAGTATATTTAGAGTGAATTTTCCAACACCACAAGCAATTTTAAAATAGTTTCATTACCCCATAAAGAAACCCTGGATCACCTGGCAATCACCTTCCCTGCAACCCAAGCCCCTAAAAAGGGTATCTCCAGGCCCAGATAGTGTCACTGGAGAATTCTACCACATATTTAAAGAATAGTAATTTTACACAATATCTTTCAGAAAATAGAAAATAGACTACTTTTCAACTTATCTTATGAGTCCATGTATTAGTCTATTCTTGCACTGCTATAAAGAGATACCTGAAACTGGGTAATTTATAAAGAAAAGAGGTTTAATTGGCTCACAGTTCTGCAGGCTGTACATGCATGGCACTGGCATCTTCTCAGCTTCTGGGGTGGCCTCAGGGAGCTTTTACTCACAGCAGAAAGCAGAGTGGGAGCAGGCACTTCACATGGCAAAAGCCAGAGGAAGAGGGAGAGGGGAGTGGGGAGAGGTGCCACACTGTAAAACAACCAGATCTCCTGACAACTCACTATCACGAGGACAGCACCTAGCCATGAGGGATCGTCCCCCATAACCCAAACACCTCCCACCAGGCCACACCTCCAGCACTGGGGGTTACAGTTCAACATGAGATTTAGAGGGGACACATATTGAAACCGCATCAGTCCAGTATTACCCTGATATCAAAACCAGATAGAGACAGAACAACAACAACAACAACAACAAAAAGAATGAAAGCTACAGACAAGTATCTCTCATGAACTTAGAGGCAAAAATTCTCAAAAAAAAAATTAGTAAACCAACTCCAACAATATGTAAAAAGAATTACACATCATGACCAATTGATTTTTGAGATTTATTCCAGGTATGCAAGGTAGGTTCAACATTCAAAAATTAATCTGTGTAATCCATCATATCAACAAGCGAATGAAGAAAAATCATTTGATAATACCAATTGACATATAAAAAGCACTTGTCCAAATGTGACATCCATTCATGATAAAATTCACAGCAAGTTAGGATAGAGGGAAATCACTTCAACTGATAAAAGGAATCCACGGAAAAACCTGTATCTAACACCATACTTAATGAAAACATAAATGCTTTTTCTCTAAGATCAGGAATAAGATAAGGATTTCAACTATCACCAGTCTTGTTAAACATGGTACTGGAAATCCTAGTCAGCACAACAAGGCAAGTAAAATAAAGAGCAGACATAACGAAGAGAAAGAGATAATACTGTCTCTATTTACAGAGGACTTCACTGTCTACATAGAAAATCCCAAAGAATCCACACAAAAAAAAATCTTAGAATATATGAGTTCATCAAGTTCACAGATTATAAGATAAACATTTCTAAGGCCACCCCACACTGAACATGCCTGATCTCTTATGATTTCGGGAGCTAAGCAGGATCTAGCCTGGTTGGTACTTGGATGAGAGATTATAAGATCAAAACCAAAAAATTAATCCCATTTCTATATACCAACAATGAACATGCAGAAACTGAAATTAAGCAATAACACCATCTATAGTCATTCATAAGAAAATGAAATACTGTGGCATAAACTTTATAAACTATGCATAGTACTTATATACTAAAAATTATAAAGTGCTGTTGAAAAAATTAAAGAAGTCGTACCTATATAGGAAAACATACCGCATCCATAGAATGGACTATTTATCATAATAAATGTGTCAAATCTCCCCAAATTGAACTACAAGTTTGATGCAATGCCTGTCAAATTCCAAGCAAAATTTTTGTAGACACAGACAAGCTTATTCTAAATTTAATTGAAAAGACATATGTTCTTGACTATTTGAAGCAATCTTTACAAAGAAAAATGGAGGAGGAATTATTCTACATCATATTAAGGTTTACTGTATGGCTAAGTAATCATAGCAATGTGATATTGTTGGGGAGATAGGCACATAGATCAATGGTACAGTCAGAAGACCTAGAAATAGATCCACACAAATACACTCCATTGATTTGTGATAAAGGTACTGAAGAATGCCCATTCAACAAATGTTACTGGAGCAACGGGACATTGACAGGCAAAAAAAGAAAACAAACAAACAAACAAACAAAAAACAAAAACAAAACAAAAAAAAAACCTGATCTAAAGCTCACACTTTACACAAAAACTAGCTCAAAGAAATAGACAAATGAAAAATATAAACTGTAAAATTTTTAGGAAAAAAGGAGAAAACCTTTAAGGTCTAGGCCTTGGAAAAGAGTCTTTAAATGTGATACCAAAAGTACAAGCCATAAAAGGAAAAAAAAAAAAAAATGGGCCGGGTGCAGTGGCTCATACCTGTAATTCCAGCACTTTGGGATGTTGAGGCGGGCAGATCACCTGAGGTCAGGAGTTCGAGACCAACCTGACCAACACGGAGAAACCCTGCCTCTACTAAAAATACAAGAATTAGCCAGGCATGGTGGCGCATGCCTGTAATCCCAGCTACTCGGGAGGCTGTGGTGGGAGAATCACTTGGACCTGGGAGGCGGAGGCTGCAGTGAGCCGAGATCACGCCATTGCACTCCAGCCTGGACAACAAGAGCGAAACTCCAAAAAAAAGAAAAAAAAAAAGGAAAAAAATGATAAATTTAATGTCATCAAAATTTAAAACTTCAGCTCTGTGAAATTCCAAGCAAAGAGGATGAAAAGACAAGGCATAAACTGAGAGAAAATATTTGCAAACAACAATCCAATGAAACTAGTATCTTGAATATATACAGAAGTCTCACAACTCAACAATTTAAAAAAAAGACAATTCAATTAGAGAATGGGCAAAAGACATAAACAGACATTTCACCAGAGAAGATATACAGATAGCAGATAAGCATATGAAAAGATGTTCAATATCATTAGCCATTAGGAAAATGCAAATTAAAACTACAATGAGATACCACTACATACCTTTCAGGATGGCTAAAATTAAAAAAAAAATTAGCGACAACATCAAATGCTAGCAAGGATGACAAAGAACTGGATCACATATACATACTGGCAGAATTATAAAATAGCACAGCCACTTTGGGAAAACAGTTTTGAAGTTTTGCAAAAAAAATTAAACATGCAACTACCATATGACCCAGCAACTGTGCTCCTGGACGTTTATCCAATTTATGCGATCCTGATGTATTTCAGAGAAATAAAGATTTATCTTATTTATCTTCACACAAAAACTAGAACACGAATATTCATTGTACTTGTAATTGTAATAGCTAAAATTGAAATCAGGCCAGATGTCATTCAAGAAATGAATGTTTAAGCAAACTGTGGTATATACCATGAAATTCTATTCCACTATACAAAGGAACAGGCTACTGATATATGCAACAACTTGGTTGAATCTGCAGAGGATTATGTGGAGTTAAAGCCAATCACAAAATATTAAATACTGTATGATTTGAGTTATAGAACACTATTGAAGTGATCAAATTTTTAGAAATGGAAGACAGGTTAGTGGTAAGGTATAGAGGGTAAGGGGCTGAGAGGCACTGGGGCTCAGAAACAGATACTCCAAAATATGGCACTTTGACATACAGAACTGAGGAAGTCTCAAGGTTTCTCTGACTTCCCCACCACTACCCCCACCCCCTGGACCCCCCCGCCCACCAGCCTACACACACACACACTCCTGTCTCTCAACCCTCCTTACCAAAGCACAGGATGAAATTGTTCTCTGAAGTTCTCTTATCTGCCTAAGATCTGGACCCACCAAAGAAAAAATCAAGTACTTCTGGTCCCTTTTCTGATTTTTCATTAATTAAACTCAGATTGAAAAAATTAAGGCTGACATCTGTTAACACACCTGGACAGTCATTTGTCATAAATCACTGCCTGCTCTACAAGCCCAACAGACTTTGTCTCAGGCAAATGTATGTTTATCAAGCCCATTAAATACCCCTAAAATCATTTACTATATCTCTAAAATTACTCACATTTCCCTATCCCCCTTTCCCGTAAGAAGAAGGACATATAATCATCTGTACCCCATTTGCATAGTGGGGCAATCACTCTGTGATTTTTGTATCCTCCGTGCACATTAATAAATTTGTATGATTTTTCTCCTTATTATTCTTCCTTTTGTCAGTTGATTTGCAACAAACTTTCAGAGAGTTAAGTGAAAGTTTTCCCTTTGCCCTTACAGAGAAAAGAGGTGGGAATATTTATAAAAAGGGAACATGGTTGGGCACAGTGGCTCATGTCTGTAATCCTGGCACTTTGTGGGGGCTAAGGCAGGATTGCTTGAGCACAAGAGTTTGAAACCAGCCTGGACAACATAGCGAGACTTGGTGTTTAATGTAAAAATCAAAACATTAGTTGCACGTGGTAGCATGCACCTGTAGTCCCAGCTACTCAGGAGGCTGAGGCAGGAGGAATTGCTTATTCCAGGGAGATCAATGCTGCAGTGAACTATGATCGTGCCACTGCACTCAGCCTAGGTGACAGAGTGAGACCCTGTCTCAAAGAAAAAAAAAGTGCTATGGTTTGAATATATGTCTACACCAAATCTCATGTTGAATTGTGATCCCCAGTGTTGGAGGTGGGCCCTGGTGGGAGGGTTTGCATCATGAGGGCAGATCCCTCATGGCGTGGTGCTGTCCTCATGATAGTGAGTGCGTCCTCATAACAGTGAGTGACTACTCATGAGATAAGTTTGTTTAGAGGTGTATGGCATCTCCTCACTACTCTCTCTCTCTTACTGCCTCTCTCAGCACATAAGATGCCTTCTCCCTCTTTACCTTCCACCATAATTGTATGCTTCCTGAGGCCCTCACCAGAAGCTAAACAGATGCCTGGCACAATGCCTCCTGTACAGCCTATAGAACCATGAGCCAATGAAACCTATTTTCTTTATAAATGACCCATGATCAGGTATTTATTTATAGCAATGCAGGAATGGCCTAACACATAAAATTGGTACCAGGAGTATGGTATTGCTATTAAAATAGTGAAAACGTATAGGTGACTTTGGAACTGGGTAACAGGCAGAGATTGAAAGAGTTTGGGGGACTCAGAAGAAGATAGGAGATGGGGAAAGTTTGGAATTTTTAAAGACTGGTTAAAGGATTGTGACTAAAATATTGATATAAATATCGACAGTGAAAACCAGGCTGATGAGGTTTCAGATGGAAATGAGGAACTTATTGGAAATTACAACAAAGGTCACCCATTTTATGCCATAGCAAAGAACTGGGCTGCATTGTGTTCATGCCCTAGGGATCTGTGGAAGTTTGGGCTTCAAATGGATTATTTAGGGTATCTACAGAAGGAAATTTCTAAGCAGCAAAGCATTCAAGAAATGGCCTGGCTGCTTTTAATAGCTTATGCTCAGATGTGGGAGCAATGAAACAACAAAGTTAGACTTTACATTTAAACAGGAAGCAGATCAAAAAATGTTTGGAAAATCTGCAGCCTTGCCATATTATGGAAAAGAAAAGCAAGTTTTCAAGGCATAAATTAAAGCAGGGTGACTTACTTGCCACAGAAATTTGTATACCTAAAAAGGAGGCAAGTGCAATTAGCCAAGACAATGGGAAAAAGGCCTAGAAGGCACTTCACAGATCTTCCAGACAGCCCAAATCACAAGCCCAGAGACCTAAGAGGACTAGATGATTTCATGGGCCAGGCCTGGGGTGCCACTGCACTCCACCACCCCAGGAGGCTGATGTCTGCATCCCTGCTGCTTTCAGCTCCAGCCATGGCTCAAAGAGCCTGAGATACAACTCAGGCAACTGCTTTAGAGGGTGCAAGCTGTAAGCCTTGGTGGCTCCTATGTGGTATTAAGCCTGTAGGCATACAGAGTGAAAGCATGAAGGAGACATGGCAGCCTCTGCCTAGATTTCAGAGGATGTATCAGAAAGCCTGGGTGTCCAGGCAGAAGCCTGCTGCAGGGGCAGAGTGCTCACAGAAATCCTCTACTAGGGCAGTACAAAGAAAAAATGTGGGGCTGAAGGCCCCACACAGTGGGCACTGTGTAGTGGAGCTGTGGGAATGAGGCCACGGTCCTCCATATTCCAAAATGGTAGATCCACCAGCAGCTTTCACCTTGTGCCTGGAAAAGCTGCAGGTACTCAACAATCTGTGAGAGCAGCTGTGGAAGCTAAAATATGTAAAGGCATAGGTGTGGAGCTGCCCAAGACCTTAGGGGCCCACCTCTTGCAGAATTGTGCCCTGGATGGGGGACATGGAGTCAAAGAAGACTATTTCAGAGCTTTAAGATTTAGTTACTGCCATCCCCGGTTTTGAACTCTCATGGAGCCTGTAGCCCCTTTCTTTTGGCTATTTCTCCATTTTGGAATGGGAATGTTTACCCAATGTCTTTACCCTCATTGTATCCTGGAAGTAAATACTTGTTTTGATTTTACAGGCTCACAGATGGAAGGAACTCGTCTCCAGATGAGACTTTGGGCTCGGAACTTTTGAGTTAATGCTGGAATGAGTTAAGCTTTGGTGGACTGTTAGGAAGGCATGATTATATTTTGCAATATGAAAAGGACATAAGCTTTGGGGAATCAGGGATGGAATGATATGGTTTGATTATATGTCCCCACTAAGTCTCATGTTGAATGTGATCATCAGTATTGGAGGTGGGGCCTGGTGGGAGGGATTTGGGTCATGCGGGGCAGATCCCTCGTGGCTCAGTGCTGTCCTCACAACAGTGAATACCCAAGAGATCTGGTTGTTTAGAGAGGTGTGTGGCATCTTGCCTTCACTCTTTCTTTCTCTCTTGCTCCCTCTCTCACCATGTGATGTGCCTCCTCCCCCTTTGCCTTCCACCATGTTCAGTGACATGCTACCTATATAGCCTGCAGAACTGTGAGCCAATTAAACTTTTCTTTTTTTTTTTTTTTTTTTACAAATTACCCAGTCTCAGCTATTTCTTTATACCAATGCAATAACAGCCTAGCACAAAAGGCAACATGAAGAACTGTTGTGAGGTTGGAATTGTTTAGTATTTTGGCTATGGTGGTGATGCATGAACCTACACAGTGATAAAATTGTATAGAACTTAACATATACACACAAATAAGTGTAAGTAAAACTGCAAAAACCTGAATAAAATTGGTAGATTCCATCAATATTAATATCCAGTTTGTAAAATTATACTAGTTTAGCAAAATAATACCATTAAGGAAAACTGAGCAAAGTATGCAAGGGAACTTTCTATATATATATACATACACACACACACGCATATATATGTGTGTGTATATATATGTGTGTGTGTATATAAATATGTGTGTGTATATATACTGTGTGTATATATAAAAATATATAAATATAAATATATATAAATATAAATATATATATAAATATAAATATATATATAAATAAATATATATATATATATATTTTTTTTTTTGAGACAGTCTTACTTTGTTGCCCAGGCTGGACTGCAGTGGTGCAATCTCAACTCACTGCAACCTCTGCCTCCCAAGTTCAAGTGATTCTCCTGCCTCAGCCTCCTGAGTAGCTGGGATTACAGGTGAGCCTCACCACATCCGGCGAATTTTGTACTGTTAGTAGAGACGGGGTTTCATCATGTTGGCCAGGCTTGTCTCAAACTTCTGACCTCAGGTGATCCACCCACCTTGGCCTCTCAAAATGCTGGGATTACAGACATAAGCCACCACACCCGGCGTTGTATTATTTCTGACAACTGCATGGGAATTCACAATTATCTTAATAAAATTTTCAATAAAAAAATAAGCAAACTGTAGTACAGCAAAGTGCTCCAAGAGAGATAAGGCCAGAAAAGTTTCTCTTCTACCACCTTCCCTAGATTTGGTTACTCACCTACAACAAGATAACAAAAAGAAGGGATTCTTTTTGTTATTGTTTGTAACATAAGTTATGAAAAGACTGCCAGATGTGTAACATAAGAAAGTAAAGTTAAAGTGACAGTGAGAAGTCAATCTTTGTAAGATTGAAAGATTAATTGCCCTGTAGATGCTCTTCTCTAAAGCCTAAAACAGAACCCTCAGAATCCATATTAGAACTCAACGCTTCTCCCTTGTTTCCAACCTCCACAGCCAATCCTCTGTCCAGGAGCAGAAACCGACCTTGCCGGGAGTGCCTGAGTACACAGTAGTGTCAGACACCAAGGGAGATGGGATTTCCAGGCAGATAAGTTCTTAGAAAGGAGAGATTATCTAGGGGTGTGGTATTGAGGAGTCATGAGAGTAAATGAAGATTTCAAGACTATTGGAGAGGAGAAGAAGGAGATTCTCGACCTAGTACAGTGTGTGTGTAAGGGCAGGAATTATCATATGATATACCCCATGAGTCAAAAGTGAAAACTCCACAACAGAGAAAGGCACTTGTGGACAAGTTGACTAGGCCAAAGAAGTCACTCCCAAATTTCTACCACCCTGGACTCTGAGTTTTAATAGAAATTTTGATCCTAAAGATAAAGATAAATTTAATATTCCCTGGGATTTGGGCCTCATTACTAACAGCAGGAATATTTTTGTTGCTCAATCGTCCTTCCATCCCAATAATAAGAATATAGGGCTGGGGTTATAGAGGTAAGTAACTGAGAAGAGGGGGAAATGGGTAAATGATTATACTCTGAGGTTTCCAATCCAAGAGGGCTTCACAGAATCAGTGACATCAGAAATTGGTCCTAAAGGATAGGAAAGAGTTTGCCACGTGGCACCTTAATCTTAGATGCCAGCTCAGGCAGTTGAAGCCAAAATATTATCAAAAAGAGGTCACATTAAGCCACACATCTTAATTTGAATGTAATTAATTGGTTTCAGTCACGTGACGATCCAGAAAAACGTAAAAGAAATGAGGGAGGAGATGGAAAGAACAGTTGACCAAGTATACTTATTGTCCCCAAATATAAAATGGGATGAATAATTATATTTTCCATACAGAGACTTAAAAGCAGTAAAACAAACATTGTATATAAAGCTTTTGGCCCAATCTTAAGGCCATGGTGAACAACAAAGAAATAGCAATAATTTTATTCACTGGTTTCTCTGTGAAGTCATTGACGCCTTATACAGAAGGCTCCAGATTCACATCAAAAAGTGTCTCTAGCAAATGTTCATTTGGGAGCTCTACAACACAGCCTCTTTTCTCTAATCCTTTCATAGCTAATTACCCAGATGTAATGTTCAAGTCTAGGGTGCTCCATTGTTGTGAAACCTACAAAAATATGAATAAAAATTAAAATACCTGATGGTGGGAAGAAATTGGCATACATGTGGGACTATCTGCTACTGATATAGTAACTGAATTTAATTATTAAGAAATATCAGATATCAAACTTCATCCCATAGCTAGCTAACAATTTCAAGAGAGTCCAGAGGCTGGCTTCAGAGTTTGACATTGCCTCAGGAAAAAGTCTGTTTTCCTCACTTCAATCCTTCCCACATGCCTTAGAAATTCTTTTGAATCCTTCTTTTGTACTGAGAGGTTTAATTTTGAACTGAACAAGGTGGTAAGGTTTTATATCATACACTACATAAAATTATGGTAAATGAAGCACCTATTTAAAATAGTGAAAATGAGGATTATTCCCAGCAACTCTTAGAAAGTGAAACAAAAACAGGAACAAAAATAGCAGTGAAAAAGGAAAACAGGAAAAAAAATAAACCACCTGCTGTATCAAGGTAAAGACACATGGAAGAAGGAAGACAACATACAAAAAGAAACCTGTGAATTTTGAAGCAACCAGAGCAAAACAGAAATGGCAGAGAATGGCCCACTTTGATTTCTCAAGAGTTTTCATCACTCCCTATTTCAGTATGGCGACCGCGAGATAGTAGGCAGTCTCATTCTGTGATCTCATTCTAAAATGAAGACCCAAATCCAAAATAAGTGCTACTAGTCTACAGTATTTTTCACATCAAAAGGACAAACCTGGAAAAAGTTCCAGGTTTTGGAGTAATAAAAAAGATTAGTTTAGGATTCCATCTGTGTGGAAGCCCCAAAGCCTAAAACAGCTTTTGAATAGCTACCCAGATTCTCATCACAGTCAGCAGTCTAAATCTGGAGATGAGCTGCAAGTAGAAAATGATGAAGATGATCCAATGGACTCTTCAATGTACTCTTGCCAGTTATGGGATCTCATTAACTCTGCCTCTGTGAGATTTTCTATATCAAACACTTCTGTATTGTTCTTAACATCATCACCAGAATACCTATCGTTATCACCCCACACTTGAATTATTACAAAGGACTCTTAAGTCTTCCATAATTACTATGTTTCTTTCTACCCATCAAAATCCATCAGGACCCCACTGTCATATTAACCATTATAAAATATCAATAGAATTTGTTCACCTCTCTATTCAACAACCTTTATACAGATTGATTCCAACCCTTAAATCCTGATGTTCCTGGGCCCTCAATCTGGGTTTGGATTATTCCAAATCCCAAATGTTGAAATCTTGAAAGATCAAAATCCCTAAAGTCTCTTATAGACTACCTCTGTGCATCTACCCATAATCTATCCTTGTAGTATGATTTTTTTATTTTTTATATGTCAAATGTTTGTAGTTTTTTCTTTTTTACTCTTTTAAGTTTTTTCACTATTATTTTAAATTGTCAGCATGTTTTACTATTCAATATGCTATGTATTTCACCTTTGCATCATTTCCAATGCTGTAGGTATACATTGTGTTGAGACTTTTAAAGAGTTCTAATTCACTTTCTGCATTTTTTTTTTGTAAATTTGACTACATGGAAGTGCACTAGGCTAACGTTGACTTTGTGTGTAAGCATTATGTACATACCTAAAAACACTGAAACTTCCTTAATAAATGAAGAGATGTCCTTTTCGTACATTTGTATTTGTGAAAAATATAATTTCTCAAGATATCAGCTCTTTGGGCAACTGCATATGCAGTGACCCACCAAGGTTCATGATAGACTTCTTTAAAAGACAGTTTGTCACAGTATCTCAGATGACTGAAGTTAGAAGCTGGGTGCACATGATTACCATGATATGTGCTTATACATTTCCCTTTTTGACCTATTTCTTCATGAATATGGTTCATCTGCTCATAATTGTTAAACCAGTGTGACTGTTGTTAGCACACCTGTTTATCCTGCAAAAACATGAATGCTATTATCACCTATTTTATTGTGCAAAGTAGTCTGTGAAGTGCTCTGTCATGTTTTTGTTTTTCTCAGATAAATTCCCCTTTTAAAGTATAAATACATTCTTTTTTCTTTTTTTGAGATGGATTCTCGCTTTCTTGCCCGGGCTTGAGTGCAGTGGTATAATCTTGGCTCACTGCAACCTCTGCCTCCTGGGTTCAAGTGATTCTCCTGCCTCAGCCTCCCAAGTAGCTCGGACTACAGGCATGCCACCACGCCCGGCTAATTTTTATATTTTTAGTAGAGACGGGGTTTCCCCACGCTGTCCAGGCTGATTTCTAACTCCTGATCTTGTGATCCGCTTGCTTCAGCCTCCCAAGTAAATACACATTTTTAAAATAATTTTGCAATTTTTTTTTCAGAATTATATTTTTGAGATTTTGATCTTTCAGTATTTCAACAGTTGGGATTATGGCATTTGGATTGTGTCTTTTGGGATTATGATCAGCTCCCTTCAATCTGACCCCAAGATGACAATCCCATCAGTTCCCTATATTCAGTCTTTCATCCATACCACAGAACCTTCTGTGCATACTGCACTGGGTACTTGAGCTACATTTGAGATCAAAGGGTCACTGCCTCTCATGTAGTCCATATGTGGTTCCAAAAGATATATAATAAATAAGTAAACATTTATATAAACCAGACAATTTGAGGCCTTCAAGAAAATAAGTCTGATGCTCACATATTATCCCTCCATTTCTCTTCCTTATTCCTAGCTCGGGCTCTAGGTACAACCTCTCTACTTCTACTCATTTACTTGAATCTTACTCACCCTTCAAGACCTAGCTGGGTTGTCCTTCTTCCATGAAATGGCTCCTCTCCACCCCAGTGCTTTGCCACTTTTCTCTCCTCTCAGGTTTCAGACCTGTCAAGCCTTGCTTCATAGAGCCCTTGAGCAACTCTTTCAACTGAACATATGGGACTTTCAAATAATGGGTTATGAAGAAAACCCCTGTGGCTAAAAGCACAGGTGAAATTGACTGCTTTACCTGGCTATATCTCTGTATTATATCTTTCTGCTGATTTAGATGATATGATCTTCATGGGTAGAGAACATGTGGCTTAGTCTCTTGAATTTCTCACAGCCCTAAGCATCAAGAACTGGACTTCTAATTATGTCACCCAATTACTCTGTACACGAATAGAAAATAGAGATCTTATGAGATAGTGTGACATATTTATTTTACCTTTTTGAGACAGGGTCTCACTGTGTCACCCAGGCTAGAGTGCAGTGGCATAACCACAGCTCCCTGCAGCCTCCACCTCCTGGGCTCACGCAATCTTCCTATCTCAGTCTTCCAGGTAGCTAGACCTACAGGCATAAACCATCATTCCTAGCTAACTTTTTTTGGCCAATTTTTGTAGAGGCAAGGTCTCACTATGTTGCCCAGGCTGGTCTTGAAATCCTGGGCTAAAGTAATCCTCCCACCTTGGCCTCCCAAAGTGCTAGGATTACAGGTAGGAGACTGGCCTGGGTGAGAGAGTATGATATAATAGAGGGGAAATCAGGTAAGATACAGAAGACAGCCATTTTGTCCTAACTTTGCATCTACTCCGTCGTGTCATTTTTTACAAGCAAGTTTCCTGAATTTCATTCATGAAACTAGAAAGAAGGGAGGTGGGTCATAATGGCCATATTCTCTTCAGATGACCAAACTACTCCGAGCTACAGGAGGAAATTCAAACCAAAGGCAAAGAAGTTGAAAACTTTGAAAAAAATTTAGATGAATGTATAACTAGAATAACCAATAGAGAGAAGTGCTTAAAGGAGCTGATGGAGCTGAAAGCCAAGGCTCGAGAACTACGTGAAGAATGCAGAAGCCTCAGGAGCCGATGCGATCAACTGGAACAAAGGGTGTCAGTGATGGAAGATGAAATGAATGAAATGAAGCGAGAAGGGAAGTTTAGAGAAAAAAGAACAAAAAGAAACAAACAAAGCCGCCAAGAAATATGGGACTATGTGAAAAGACCAAATCTACGTCTGATTGGTGTACCTGAAAGTGATGGGGAGAATGGAACCAAGTTGGAAAACACTCTGCAGGACATTATCCAGGAGAACTTCCCCATTCTAGCAAGGCAGGCCAACATTCAGATTCAGGAAATACAGAGAACACCACAAAGATACTCCTCAAGAAGAACAACTCCAAGACACATAATTGTCAGATTCACCAAAGTTGAAATGAAGGAAAAAATGTTAAGGGCAGCCAGAGAGAAAGGTCGGGTTACCCTCAAAGGAAAGCCCATCAGACTAACAGCGGATCTCTCGGCAGAAACTCTACAAGCCAGAAGAGAGTGGGGGCCAATATTCAACATTCTTAAAGAAAAGAATTTTCAACCCAGAATTTCATATCCAGCCAAATTAAGCTTCATAAGTGAAGGAGAAATAAAATACTTTACAGACAAGCAAATGCTGAGAGATTATGTGACCACCAGACCTGCCCTAAAAGAGCTCCTGAAGGAAGCACTAAACATGGAAAGGAACAACTGGTACCAGCCACTGCAAAATCATGCCAAATTGTAAAGACCATCGAGGCTAGGAAGAAACTGCATCAACTAAGGAGCAAAATAACCAGCTAATATCATAATGACAGGATCAAATTCACACATAACAATATTAACTTTAAATGTAAATGGACTAAATGCTCCAATTAAAAGACACAGACTGGCAAATTGGATAAAGAGTCAAGACCCATCAGTGTGCTGTATTGAGGAAACCCATCTCACGTGCAGAGACGCACATAGGCACAAAATAAAAGGATGGAGGAAGATCTACCAAGCAAATGGAAAACAAAAAAAGGCAGGGGTTGCAATCCTAGTCTCTGATAAAACAGACTTTAAACCAACAAAGATCAAAAGAGACAAAGAAGGCCATTACATAATGGTAAAGGGATCAATTCAACAAGAAGAGCTAACTATCTAAATATATATGCACCCAATACAGGAGCACCCAGATTCATGAAGCAAGTCCTGAGTGACCTACAAAGAGATTTAGACTCCCACACAATAATAATGGGAGACTTTAACACCCCACTGTCAACATTAGACAGATCAATGAGACAGAAAGTTAACAAGGATATCCAGGAATTGAACACAGCTCTGCACCAAGCGGACCTAATAGACATGTACAGAACTCTCCACCCCAAATCAACAGAATATACATTTTTTTCAGCAACACACCACACCTATTCCAAAACTGACCACATAGTTGGAAGTAAAGCTCTCCTCAGCAAATGTAAAAGAACAGAAATTACAACAAACTGTCTCTCAGACCACAGTGCAATCAAACTAGAACTCAGGATTAAGAAACTCACTCAAAACCGCTCAACTACATGGAAACTGAACAACCTGCTCCTGAATGACTACTGGGTACATCACGAAATGAAGGCAGAAATAAAGATGTTCTTTGAAACCAATGAGAACAAAGATACAACATACCAGAATCTCTGGGACACATTCAAAGCAGTGTGTAGAGGGAAATTTATAACACTAAATGCCCACAAGAGAAAGCAGGAAAGATCCAAAATTGACACCCTAACATCACAATTAAGAGAACTAGAAAAGCAAGAGCAAACACATTCAAAAGCTAGCAGAAGGCAAGAAATAACTAAAATCAGAGCAGAACTGAAGGAAATAGAGACACAAAAAACCCTTCAAAATATTAATGAATCCAGGAGCTGCTTTTTGGAAGGATCAACAAAATTGATAGACCGCTAGCAAGACTAATAAAGAAGAAAAGAGAGAAGAATCAAATAGATGCAATAAAAAATGATAAAGGGGATATCAACACTGATCCCACAGAAATACAAATTACCATCAGAGAATACTACAAACACCTCTATGCAAATAAACTAGAAAATCTAGAAGAAATGGATAAATTCCTCATCACATACACCCTCCCAAGACTAAACCAGGAAGAAGTTGAATCTCTGAATAGACCAATAACAGGCTTTGAAATTGTGGCAATAATCAATAGCTTACCAACCAAAAAGAGTGCAGGACCAGATGGATTCACAGCCGAATTCTACCAGAGGTACAAGGAGGAACTGGTACCATTCCTTCTGAAACTATTCCAATCAATAGAAAAAGGGGGAATCCTCCCTAACTCATTTTATGAGGCCAGCATCATCCTGATACCAAAGCCTGACAGAGACACAACCAAAAAAGAGAATTTTAGACCAATATCCTTGATGAACACTGATGCAAAAATCCTCAATAAAATACTGGCAAACCAAATCCAGCAGCACATCAAAAAGCTTATCAGTCATGATCAAGTGGGCTTCATCCCTGGGATGCAAGTCTGGTTCAATATACACAAATCAATAAATGTAATCCAGCATATAAACAGAACCAAAGACAAAAACCACATGATGATCTCAATAGATGCAGAAAAGGCCTTTGACAAAATTCAACAACGCTTCATGCTAAAAACTCTCAATAAATTCGGCATTGATGGGACGTATCTCAAAATAATGAGAGCTATCTATGACAAACCCACAGCCAATATCATACTGAATGGGCAAAAACTGGAAGCGTTCCCTTTGAAAACTGGCACAAGACAGGGATGCCCTCTCTCACCGCTCCTATTCAACATAGTGTTGGAAGTTCTGGCCAGGGCAATGAGGCAGGAGAAGGAAATAAAGGGTATCCAATTAGGAAAAGAGGAAGTCAAATTGTCCCTGTTTGCAGATGACATGATTGTATATCTAGAAAACCCCATTGTCTCAGCCCAAAATCTCCTTAAGCTGATAAGCAACTTTGGTAAACTCTCAGGATACAAAATCAATGTACAAAAATCACAAGCAGTCTTATACACCAATAACAGACAAACAGAGAGCCAAATCATGAGTGAACTCCCATTCACAATTGCTTCAAAGAGAATAAAATACCTAGGAATCCAACTTACAAGGGACGTGAAGGACATCTTCAAGGAGAGCTACAAACCACTGCTCAACAAAATAAAAGAGGATACAAACAAATGGAAGAACATTTTCATTCCATGCTTATGGGTAGGAAGAATCAATATCGTGAAAATGGCCATACTGCCCAAGGGAATTTATAGATTCAATGCCATCCCCATCAAGCTACCAATGACTTTCTTCACAGTACTGGAAAAAACTACTTTAAAGTTCATATGGAACCAAAAAAGAGCCCGCATTGCCAAGTCAATCCTAAGCCAAAAGAACAAAGCTGGAGGCATCACGCTACCTGACTTCAAACTATTCTACAAGGCTACAGTAACCAAAACAGCACGGTACTGGTACCAAAATGGAGATATAGATCAATGGAATGGAAGAGACCCCTTAGAAATAACGCCACATATCTACAACTATCTGATCTTCGACAAACCTGAGAAAAACAAGCAATGGGGAAAGGATTCCCTATTTAATAAATGGTGCTGGGAAAACTGGCTAGCCATATATGGAAAGCTGAAAATGGATCCCTTCCCTACACCTTATACAAAAATTAATTCAAGATGGATTAAAGACTTAAACTTTAGACCTAAAACCATAAAAACCCTAGAAGAAAACCTAGGCATTACCATTCAGGACATAGGCATGGGCAAGGACTTTATGTCTAAAACACCAAAAGCAATGGCAACAAAAGCCAAAATTGACAAATGGGATCTAATTAAACTAAATAGCTTCTGCACAGCAAAAGAAACTACCATCAGAGTGAACAGGCAACCTACAGAATGGGAGAAAATTTTTGCAATCTACTCATCTGACAAAGGGCTAATATCCAGAATCTACAATGAACTCAAACAAATTTACAAGAAAAAAGCAAACAACCCCATCAAAAAGTGGGCAAAGGACATGAACAGACACTCCTCAAAAGAAGACATTTACGCAGCCAAAAAACACATGAAAAAATGCTCACCATCACTGGCTATCAGAGAAATGCAAATCAAAACCACAATGAGATACCATCTCACACCAGTTAGAATGGCAATCATTAAGAAGTCAGGAAACAACAGGTGCTGGAGAGGATGTGGAGAAATAGGAACACTTTGACACTGTTGGTGGGACTGTAAACTAGTTCAACCATTGTGGAAGTCAGTGTGGCGATTCCTGAGGGATCTAGAACTAGAAATACCATTTGACCCAGCCATCCCATTACTGGGTATATACCCAAAGGACTATAAATCATGCTGCTATAAAGGCACATGCACACATATGTATACTGCGGCACTATTCACAATAGCAAAGACTTGGAACCAACCCAAATGTCCAACAATGATAGACTGGATTAAGAAAATGTGGCACATATACACCATGGAATACTATGCAGCCATAAAAAATGAGGAGTTCATGTCCTTTGTAGGGACATGGATGAAATTGGAAATCATCATTCTCAGTAAAGTATCGCAAGAACAAAAAATCAAACACCGCATATTCTCACTCATAAGTGGGAATTGAACAATGAGAACACATGGACACAGGAAGGGGAACATCACACTCTGGGGACTGTTGTGGGGTGGGGAAAGGGGGGAGGGATAGCTTTAGGAGACATACCTGATGCTAAATGACGAGTTAATGGGTGCAGCACACCAGCATGGCACATGTATACATATGTAACTAACCTGCACATTGTGCACATGTACCCTAAAACTTAAAATAAAATAAAATAACATAAAATAAAATAAAATAAAAATAAAAATATAAAATTCTAGGGACATCACAGGCCACTGCAGGTAGAGAGGAAGGTTGAACAGTGAAGACTGTTGGTCAGTTACTTGTTTCAACAAAATTTCTAAAGAAAGAATTTTGCCAATTAAAAAAAAAAAAGTGGGGGGGAGGAGCCAAGATGGCCGAATAGGAACAGCTCCGGTCTACAGCTCCCAGCGTGAGCGACGCAGAAGACGGTGATTTCTGCATTTCCATCTGAGGTACCGGGTTCATCTCTCTAGGGAGTGCCAGACAGTGGGCGCAGGCCAGTGTGTGTGCGCACCGTGCGCGAGCCGAAGCAGAGCGAGGCATTGCCTCACCTGGGAAGCGCAAGGGGTCAGGGAGTTCCCTTTCCGAGTCAAAGAAAGGGGTGATGGTCGCACCTGGAAAATAGGGTCACTCCCACCCGAATATTGCGCTTTTCAGACCGGCTTAAGAAACGGCGCACCACGAGACTATATCCCACACCTGGCTCGGAGGGTCCTACGCCCACGGAATCTCGCTGATTGCTAGCACAGCAGTCTGAGATCAAACTGCAAGGCGGCAACGAGGCTGGGGGAGGGGCGCCCGCCATTGCCCAGGCTTGCTTAGGTAAACAAAGCAGCCGGGAAGCTCGAACTGGGTGGAGCCCACCACAGCTCAAGGAGGCCTGCCTGCCTCTGTAGGCTCCACCTCTGGGGGCAGGGCACAGACAAACAAAAAGACAGCAGTAACCTCTGCAGACTTAAGTGTCCCTGTCTGACAGCTTTGAAGAGAGCAGTGGTTCTCCCAGCACGCAGCTGGAGATCTGAGAACGGGCAGACAGACTGCCTCCTCAAGTGGGTCCCTGACTCCTGACCCCGGAGCAGCCTAACTGGGAGGCACCCCCCAGCAGGGGCACACTGACACCTCACACGGCAGGGTATTCCAACAGACCTGCAGCTGAGGGTCCTGTCTGTTAGAAGGAAAACTAACAACCAGAAAGGACATCTACACCGAAAACCCATCTGTACATCACCATCATCAAAGACCAAAAGTAGATAAAACCACAAAGATGGGGAAAAAACAGAACAGAAAAACTGGAAACTCTAAAACGCAGAGCGCCTCTCCTCCTCCAAAGGAACGCAGTTCCTCACCAGCAACAGAACAAAGCTGGATGGAGAATGATTTTGACGAGCTGAGAGAAGAAGGCTTCAGACGATCAAATTACTCTGAGCTACGGGAGGACATTCAAACCAAAGGCAAAGAAGTTGAAAACTTTGAAAAAAATTTAGAAGAATGTGTAACTAGAATAACCAATACAGAGAAGTGCTTAAAGGAGCTGATGGAGCTGAAAACCAAGGCTCGAGAACTACGTGAAGAATGCAGAAGCCTCAGGAGCCGATGCAATCAACTGGAAGAAAGGGTATCAGCAATGGAAGATGAAATGAATGAAATGAAGCGAGAAGGGAAGTTTAGAGAAAAAAGAATAAAAAGAAATGAGCAAAGCCTCCAAGAAATATGGGACTATGTGAAAAGACCAAATCTACGTCTGATTGGTGTACCTGAAAGTGATGTGGAGAATGGAACCAAGTTGGAAAACACTCTGCAGGATATTATCCAGGAGAACTTCCCCAATCTAGCAAGGCAGGCCAACGTTCAGATTCAGGAAATACAGAGAACGCCACAAAGATACTCCTCGAGAAGAGCAACTCCAAGACACATAATTGTCAGATTCACCAAAGTTGAAATGAAGGAAAAAATGTTAAGGGCAGCCAGAGAGAAAGGTCGGGTTACCCTCAAAGGAAAGCCCATCAGACTAACAGCGGATCTCTCGGCAGAAACCCTACAAGCCAGAAGAGAGTGGGGGCCAATATTCAACATTCTTAAAGAAAAGAATTTTCAACCCAGAATTTCATATCCAGCCAAACTAAGCTTCATAAGTGAAGGAGAAATAAAATACTTTATAGACAAGCAAATGTTGAGAGATTTTGTCACCACCAGGCCTGCCCTAAAAGAGCTCCTGAAGGAAGCGCTAAACATGGAAAGGAACAACCGGTACCAGCCGCTGCAAAATCATGCCAAAATGTAAAGACCATCGAGACTAGGAAGAAACTGCATCAACTAATGAGCAAAATCACCAGCTAACATCATAATGACAGGATCAAATTCACACATAACAATATTAACTTTAAATATAAATGGACTAAATTCTGCAATTAAAAGACACAGACTGGCAAGTTGGATAAAGAGTCAAGACCCATCAGTGTGCTGTATTCAGGAAACCCATCTCACGTGCAGAGACACACATAGGCTCAAAATAAAAGGATGGAGGAAGATCTACCAAGCCAATGGAAAACAAAAAAAGGCAGGGGTTGCAATCCTAGTCTCTGATAAAACAGACTTTAAACCGACAAAGATCAAAAGAGACAAAGAAGGCCATTACATAATGGTAAAGGGATCAATTCAACAAGAGGAGCTAACTATCCTAAATATTTATGCACCCAATACAGGAGCACCCAGATTCATAAAGCAAGTCCTCAGTGACCTACAAAGAGACTTAGACTCCCACACATTAATAATGGGAGACTTTAACACCCCACTGTCAACATTAGACAGATCAACGAGACAGAAAGTCAACAAGGATACCCAGGAATTGAACTCAGCTCTGCACCAAGCAGACCTAATAGACATCTACAGAACTCTCCACCCCAAATCAACAGAATATACATTCTTCTCAGCACCACACCACACCTATTCCAAAATTGACCACATAGTTGGAAGTAAAGCTCTCCTCAGCAAATGTAAAAGAACAGAAATTATAACAAACTATCTCTCAGACCACAGTGCAATCAAACTAGAACTCAGGATTAAGAATCTCACTCAAAGCCGCTCAACTACATGGAAACTGAACAACCTGCTCCTGAATGACTACTGGGTACATAACGAAATGAAGGCAGAAATAAAGATGTTCTTTGAAACCAACGAGAACAAAGACACCACATACCAGAATCTCTGGGACGCATTCAAAGCAGTGTGTAGAGGGAAATTTATAGCACTAAATGCCTACAAGAGAAAGCAGGAAAGATCCAAAATTGACACCCTAACATCACAATTAAAAGAACTAGAAAAGCAAGAGCAAACACATTCAAAAGCTAGCAGAAGGCAAGAAATAACTAAAATCAGAGCAGAACTGAAGGAAATAGAGACACAAAAAACCCTTCAAAAAATCAATGAATCCAGGAGCTGATTTTTTGAAAGGATCAACAAAATTGATAGACCGCTAGCAAGACTAATAAAGAAAAAAAGAGAGAAGAATCAAATAGACACAATAAAAAATGATAAAGGGGATATCACCACCGATCCCACAGAAATACAAACTACCATCAGAGAATACTACAAACACCTCTACGCAAATAAACTAGAAAATCTAGAAGAAATGGATACATTCCTCGACACATACACTCTCCCAAGACTAAACCAGGAAGAAGTTGAATCTCTGAATAGACCAATAACAGGCTCTGAAATTGTGGCAATAATCAATAGTTTACCAACCAAAAAGAGTCCAGGACCAGATGGATTCACAGCCGAATTCTACCAGAGGTACATGGAGGAACTGGTACCATTCCTTCTGAAACTATTCCAATCAATAGAAAAAGAGGGAATCCTCCCTAACTCATTTTATGAGGCCAGCATCATTCTGATACCAAAGCCGGGCAGAGACACAACCAAAAAAGAGAATTTTAGACCAATATCCTTGATGAACATTGATGCAAAA